>NC_000006.12:11726666-11878181 GCF_000001405.40 Homo sapiens | reverse complement strand
CTCATAGTGAAGAGAGCAAACTGTTGCACTAGCAAACTGTTGCAGATGAATGATTTCCTTGTCAACAGGACAATGATGTAAAAGGCTTGTTAATACGGACATATTTGTACAATCTCTACATACTTGAAAAAAGCCGGATGAAAAAGAGTATATACTGTGTGATTCCATTTGTGTAGAGTTCAAAACAAACAAAAAGAACCCCAGGTGTTGGAAGCCAGCGTAGTGGTTACTCCTGAGGGGCTAGACTAGAAAAGGCATAAGTGGTGTTTCTGGGTGCTGATAGTGTCCTGGTTTTTGGTCTTCATTATGGTTACATGGGTGCGTTCACTTCATGGGGATGTATGGAGGGTACACTTACAATACATGCACTTTCTGTTTGTATCATATGTTTCAATCAGAGGTTGACACTAGAATACACTGAACATGTTCTTCATGCAGGTCATCAAGATAGTAAGGATTTGAGGGTTTGGACCTAAGACGTTCTGCATTTAGAGCGCAGGATGTTACTGCTGTTTTTCTTCTTTTCTATGTCTCATGACTATTAAGCACCAAAATGCCACACTGTAAATGACCAGTTCCAGTTCTTTTTCTGAGAACATAAGCTGATTGCTTGCTTTCCTGGTACATAAACATGAATTGAGTGTGATGAATTTTTCAAAAAGCATTCTATGGCAAAGACAGCTCCAAGAATAAACACCAAGGCCTCTGCCCATGAAGAGAAGCATTTTAAACAATACTCTCAGCCACCCCCAATCCAACTGCCACCAAACAGTTGAGCTGAAGGGTGAAAGCCCAAGTGCGCTGCAAAACCTGTGAGCAGGAAGTCAGACAGCATAGGTAATGATATCTACTCAGAGCCAGATTCACATCCTACTTAACTCCACGGGAATTCTCAACAGTTGGTCTTGACAACTCCGGCAATGCCAAGGTTCATTAACCTATTTGCGGGTGCTCTGCTTTCTAATCCGCCTGTGTTTAGAAAGAAACGTCCTCAAAATTCTCTGATGCAGCCTGCCACCTGGGTTCAGGGTTGAGTTCATGACGCATTTTGGGACTCGAGATGGGAAGTGAAAGCTTTGGGTGATTCTGAAGTCGAGAGTTTTTCAGTTGGTAATCCCATGAAACATTTAACATCAAATTCACGGTCATCAGAGGAGGCATGGTAGGTAGTCTTCAATGGTTGAGCAAACCTTCCTAGCCTACTATTTATGAAACTAGAGTGTGCTAAAACCCCCAAATATCTGAACCTTTTAGGGTAGACAAAAGAGAACCAGAGCATTTCCTCATGTCCTTCGTTTATTTCTTAGGACGCATGTCTGTGTTTTTCTGCTGAACTGTGGAGTGGGATTTCTGAATCAAATGGTTCCGCCCCATCACCCTGGAGAGCTGGACAACTCTTGTTTGATGGTTTCTATTATGGGCTACCTTTGAGAATCACATTATTTCTAAAACACAGGGACTGCAAAATCTTTTGCTGGGTACTGTCCTTTTTGAGACATTATAGGATGTACAAATTGCCCTCAAGTATTTTCCTGTGTAAAAGGACCGTTGAGTTAACCCTTCATAGTGGGGTTTCTGATATACAATAAGTTTGTTATAACAAGATATTTTCCAAGATTCACAGGAATGAGTCCTCTGGACAGGGGCCAAGACTAGCTTGCCTGCCACTGACCCTGTGATAGATACCCAGAGAAACGATGGAGACAGTCTCTTATATATTAACGGTCAGTCTGCTCTGGTTTCTAAATCTTTCTTTCTTTCTTTCTTTCTTTCTTTCTTTCTTTCTTTCTTTCTTTCTTTCTTTCTTTCTTTCTTTCTTTTCTTTCTTTCTTTCTTTTCTTTTCTGTCTCACCTTCCTGCCTTCGTTTCTTCCTTCCCTCCATCCCTCCCCCACCTCCTTCCTTCCTTCCTTTCTTTCTTTTTTTTCTTTTTTTGGTTTTGGATCAAAACTTTAATAAGGATTCCAGAACAAATAACAGGTAAAATCATGGAGCCTCCAACAAAGCAGAATTGGCATAAGTATACAGCATTTCTGATCTCCCTTTAAAAATCAGCCATCAGCCTAAGATGTGACCACCTTCACTTCAATTCACTGTCAGGTATTTTTTTTAGGTCTAATACTAGAAGATAATTGTGCCTCAATTAAAAGACAAAGTCTCTTAAAGCTACAACTTTTCAGAAGTCATTAGGGAGCGAGTACTAACAGCAAAGGTCCTCATAGTACACCTGGCGACGTGGGAACTGCAAAGGAAGGCTTGTTAGCACAGGGTTCCACAAGGTTTTGCTGGATGAAATAATCGTGTGTATATATCCTGTCTTGGCCTTGGGAAAGAACAAGTTATTTCTGACTGAACTATAATCCAGAATTCTGTCAGTACCTCAGAGTACTAGACAAGCAAGCTCCTGGTTATCCAGGGACAACGTATAGTGCCACTGAAATGCCTTCTGTTTGAAATAAGTAATATGATTATTTGAGATGTAGCATTCAGTGTGCTTTATCATACTACCGATTTTGAACAAATCTTTCCTTTCTGCAAATCGCCTCACAAATAACCTCTTTCCCAGGAGTCACTGGGACTAATTGTTTTGAGAACATAAAGTACTAAGCTTGTCCCTGAGAGTGTATTGACAGAAGCTCATAGTATTCAGGGCAAGTAATTGGATTGTGCTTTTGTGGGCTTGGAGGGAGGGCGGTCAACCATACGCTGCTTTCTAGGTGGAAAGAGGGCTCTGTTTCTTAGCAGAGCAAGGGTTGGAACCAGGACTGCTGATTCTTGTTGCAGCCCACCTTGTCACATACTTACTTTTGCAAAACCAACCTATATTAATCTTCTGAAAGCTGGAGTAAATGATCTACAAATCATGAGTGAGTGGCCACAGGATTGCAGGGGTTAGCTGGAGTGGCAGAGATAGAAGTAGTATTTGATGGAGTCTTGGCATTTTTCTGACAATACCCTGCAAAGATTCCTTGTTGAATTAACCAAAATGTTGAAAAGCTAGAAGGCAAATTTTTTGCTGCTATACCTTTCTGCTGGTCTCCTCATGATTCTTTATTTATGTGACACTAACTCTATGTCCTGTACAAACAGCTTTTAATATATGTAGTAGCACTAATTAAAGCAAGGGAGCTGGAGAAAGGTTTACCTCATTAAGAGAAGCAGCTTTTGTTTTGTTCTAAAGGGCAGCCTGAAACACATTTCATCACTGTTGCTTCTTTAAGAGTATGATTTGTCTTTGACGAGTTCCATTATGAAGAGTAAGTTTAAGGTCAGTGCTGAGAAGAAAATAACTGTGCGTGTGTTTGGGATTGCATCCTCCAGAAAGAGAGGAGAGAAATGACGAATGTGATGTTGACATCAGATTAGAGGCCATGCACCTAGGGAAGATAACTGGGATGCCAACTTTAGTATGGAAAAACATGCATGGGTGAATGATTCAGCTATTCCCATCGGAGCTACTGATCTCATGTATGGCATACACGAACTTTTGGGGGTTTGGGCCACTTGTAATATAGACTGGTTATTATCTATCCATTAAACCCACTGGATGTAGCTATAATCTGTTAAGATAAAAGGCAGATTTCATTGTCTTCAGATGAAACAACTTTTGTTTGAAGCTAAACAAAACCTTTCAGCCCCTCTCAGGATAAAAATTAAAGTCTTTATAAAGACAGACAAAATGGACCCCAGATGCTCTCCCTCACTCTGTCCTGGCAATCATTCCCCTTTTGTGGGTTCTTGAACACCCTAGCATGCCCCTTCCTCAGGGCCCACATTGTCCTAGATAGATATTCCCTTGATATGGGACAATCCTCTCCATTCTTTTTTCTTTCTTTCTTTCTTTCTTTTTTTTTTTGTAAAGATGGAATCTGACTATGTGTCCCAGGCTGGTCTCAAACTCCAGGCCTCATGCAATCCACCTGCCTCGGCCCTTCACATTTACCTGGCTCACTTTTTAATTTCCTTTAACTCTTTTCTCACTTTCAACCTCAATGAGGCCCATACTGCCAACCCGTTTAAAATTGTAGCCCCTCCCTCAGCACTCCTGGTTTTCGCTTCCCTACTGAGCATGGACATGGATTCATTGATTTGCCCTGGTCTCCATCTGTAACCTGCGTGACATCTTCCCAGAGCACATTTCATATTCTAAAAATAATAATACTTACTAAGTCATTATGTTTACTTTAAATTGTTGACTTTTCCCCCACTAGAAGGTAAACTGTCAAAGAGCAGGGGTTTTTGTTTCTTTCGTCTGCTGATGAATCTGTAGAACCTAGAACGGTGCCCAACATAGAGGTGTTAGTAGTATATCTGTTGAAGGAACAAACAAATGGTTGACTCTGTTGGAGCCCTGGTGAAGAATTAGGTACACAGAAAACTAAGCAATAAAAATGTAAGGTGATTATTACCACCATTAGAAAAAAAATCCTCAAAAGTTGTCTGAGTAAGAAAATATAATCTTGGCTCAGAAATAAGCAGTATTTATAGAATCAAGATACTGTCATTGCTGAATATTGATTAAACAAACATTTTGTTTTATCTTTATTGGGAAATGAGAAGAGTGGAAGGAAGGTGATGGTAATGTAAGAGAGCCAGGTCCTGATCTACTGTAATAGAAAGTCAAGAGAGAATGGCCTAAAAGTGATAAATCTAGAAATTATGGAGAAAATATGTTATTTAGCAATATGAATTGTCTCTGAGGGTGTGGGAAAGAGTGGGGTTGGAAACATGTTTTTCATTATAAAATATATTACTCTTTGACTGTGTACAGCATACTACCTTGATAATAGTAAAAAAACATGAAAAAAGGAAAAAAGGAAAAACATTCCACAAGCCCCTTATTCAGAAAGTACTACATTTCTCTTCGAATTTTTTTAACTTTTCTTCTTAAATATTTTCAGATAATTAATACTATTTATTCTCTGAAATATAAAATTGGATATCATGAAGTATTACAATTGCTAGATTATTAAAAATTGTTAAAGATTTAAGTATAATTCATATAGTAGATAAATTATAAATTATCTATAAATAGATAATTTATGTATGATGATTTAAATAAGTAATTACATTTTCTTTTCTTATATATTCCACATTTAAAGTGATAACATTGAACTATTTCCAATGTTCATTGGATGCTTAGATTTTTTAAAATAATGTATTTATGAGGAATAAATGCAAATACAAAGTTACAAATAAATACAAAGTTTCAATTTGCTGTTATTTACCCTGGCCTCCAAAAAAACCCCACACATTGAAGAAAAACAAGAAAATGAATTCGGAAAATGTAGACTGCTCTTTTGGCTGAAAGTTACAGCATCATTTAGGTGAGTCAATCTTGGATGTACTGTGTAGCTCATGAATGAACTTTATTTAAAACAAAGCAAATAATAGCAACAATAAAAGAAAAGTCACTAAAACCACACATATGTATAAACATAAATAAATTATATATACAAATATATATAATATATACTTATTTAGATAAATATATATATACCCTTTTTCTAGCATATTGATCAAGCACAGAAGACTAAGACTCAAATTCCACCATCCATGTCTCCACGTAGCATGACATAACCTTGGCAAAGTCGTCCAGAACTTCTGATTACTGATGAGTGCACTTTGGATGTGCTGTCAGAATCAGGAGCATTTAACAAATAGCATCAACTGAATCATTTTAATGATTACTGAGGCCATGGTAGTGACCTTCAAAGGAACATTATGTATTTACCTATTTATAATTATCTCTATATATGTGTGTGGTTTAACGATGGTTTGGTTTCTTTCTAAATATTAGGGTAAAGACGTATGTGTGTATAAATAGATAAATATAGTCTGTAGACATGAAATTGTATAAATTATTAGGATATACACATACATAGATGAATGTATTACTTTTAGTTGTTATCGAGCAATAGGTTGGCCTGTAATATAGCAACTTTTAATTCAATCAGCCCATGAACATAATTAGTAAACATAACAGAGAATGTAAATTATCTAAGATAAATTATCGTGATTTAAACAAGTAATTATGTTTTCTTATAAAATTAACATTTAATTTTTTAAGTTAAAAAGTATGAGGTCTTTCAAATTAAGCCACATGTTTGCTTCTACTATAACATTCATTGCCTAGTGTTATAAATGCCCCTTCTCTCAGTACCTGACTAATAGGTGATATTCAATTTGTGAAAAGGAAGGAAGGGAGGATGGAAGGAAGGAAGGAAGGAAGGAAGGAAGGAAGGAGGGAGGGAGGGAGGGAGGGAGGGACGGGAGGGAGGGAGGAAAGGATACACACTAGGGCACCAGGGAGAGATTCCCAGAATGAACAATTTGGGTATTGATATGGTTTGGCTCTGTGTCCCCACCCAAATCTCATCTTGTAGCTCCCATAGTTCCCACATGTTGTGGGAGGGACCTGGTGGGGGGTGATTGAATTAGGGGGGTGGGTCTTTCCTGCGCTGTTCTCGTGATAGTGAATGAGTCTCATGAGATCTGATGGCTTTAAAAACAGGAGTTTGCCTGCACAAGTTCCCTCTGTTTGCTTGCTGCCATCCATGTGAGATGGGACTTACTCCTCCTTGCCTCCCGCCATGATTGTGAGTCTTCCCCAGCCACTGGAACTGTAAGTCCAATTAAACCTCTTTCTTTTGTAAGTTACCCAGTCTCGGGTATGTCTTTGTCAGCAGTGTGAAAACAGACTAATACAGGTATCTTTTTTAGTAGATGAGAATCATATGGCTAATAGGAAACATTAAACTGTTACTTAATTCTATCATGTTTAGGCAGCAAATTGTCTGGACTGTGTGTTAGTAGAAAATTCAAGTGAAAATCACATCATAGGCTTTTGGAGACTTACAGTATGACCTTACATCCAACAGAGAAGACATAATCAAACTAGAACACTCCAGGGAAGGCCACTGAAACAATCTCTAAAGGACTACAAAGGAGCTTTGAAGGGACAGTCTGAAGCATGCCTTCCATACAATGGATCACACATTGGTGGACTCTGTGGTGTCAGGCAGACCAGTCTGGCACAGAGTGACTGTCACCCATTGACAGGGGATCGTTGAGCCCATGATGGGGTTTCTAGTTATGTTCTTATATGGGTGGTTCCTGCTCACTAATACTGTGTTAAGATTGGACAGCATATACCAAGAGTGGCCCAGTCTGGGACTTCACATACACAAGATACATTCACTCTGAATCAGATGAATGAGAAAGTCCACCAGTCTTTCAGGGCTTAGTGAGTTTCCATAGACCCAGGAAGGCATATCCTGGGGCCCAAAGGCCAGTCAGGCAGTGATGAAGACTCCAGACAAGGTTCCTGGGATACAAAGAGTCAGAAACCTGGCAGATAGTCATGTGAAAACAAAGAGATGCAACAAGAAGACTCCAGTATGAGACGAATTGAAGCCTCCTGGTGTCTCCATGTTTCTTCTCATGGTCTCCACGGTAGGGGAAGATGGATCCATCCTCTGGAGGCAAAGAGGACCCTTGGCCAGTGTCAAGGAGTGAGAGCACCAGGAAGAAGCTGTTCTGAAAGAAAGTTCTTTTTCAGGACTGAATTGACAGGATCATCTCCAAGGTGAAGGCAGGGTGGGGACGGGGGGTGAAAAACAAGAGGGAAATGTAGCTGTTTTGTAAAGCGCGTAAACGTTTTTCAGTCTGTTCTTCCACCCAGAACAGGCAAGATGTAGGCCTTTCCATAATTGTAGACAAGGTGAAACCAAAGCTGCCTCAGGCCTAAAACACCAATCCTTCATGACAGTTCTCTTGCTTTAATCTTGGCTCAGCGCTCAGAGTTCTGAAAAATAGACCATGCAGTTCAACCTCCTGCTAATAGACGGTCGCCATCCATTGCACGCCTTCCACTCTTTTAGATGTGTGATGGTACCCTTTTAGGGTACAGATCAAATCCCTCTGTAGCAAATTCTCAGAGAATGTCCTAGAATTTGGTTGCAAGGAATATGCTGGAAATAAGGGAGAGGGCCATTGGCTGAGGATCAGGAATCTTATAATGACCACATCTACCATAATGTAATTTGACCTGTGTTCACATTGGGGATTAGGAGAAAGTCTTCAGAGACGATTTTTTAATGGCATCATTTATTGAACATGGCTAGATTTAACTTATTCTTTCTACATCTAGTACTGGCGGTTTGGCTTTGGGTCAGATGTCCTTCCCAGTTTCTCAGGCGCTGACTCCATGCTACAAGGTTTGGGTTGCAAATATTGCGAGGGAATGCTTAAACACAAACAGAATGTCTCACTGATTAAATGTCAGAGTGTAGTTTGCTTCCTGAAATTCAGGGAGGGGAGCCAGAGACCCGGGCTCCATGCCCAGCTCTTCTACTGACATTAGGGGTGACCTTGGGGGAAATTATTTAACTGTTTCCTGCCCAGTGAAATGTGACACTTCAGGGCATTGCAAACACATTCCTGAGGTTTGTAGGTTCTTTGCAGATTTTTGAGCAGTGATGGGTTGCATGGAGTTCTTTCTTCTGTTCACTTTTCTACATGAACACCTGAGGCCCTTTATCAAAAAAATGCCAGCTGGGCATAGTGGCTCACGCCCGTAATCCCAGCACTTTGGGAGGCCGAGGCAGGCGGATCACGAGGTCAGGAGATTGAGACCATCCTGGCTAACACGGTGAAACCCCATCTCTACTAAACAAAATACAAAAAATTAGCCGGGCGTAGTCGTGGGCACCTGTAGTCCCAGCTACTCAGGAGGCTGAGGCAGGAGAATGGTGTGAACCCAGGAGGTGGAGCTTGCAGTGAGCCGAGATCGTGCCACTGCACTCCAGGCCTGGGCAACAGAGTGAGACTCCGTCTCAAAAAAAAAAAAAAAAAGCCAATAAGGAGTTCTAAATAGAAGCCACTTCTAGTATTAATGGTATCGACAACGGCATCATCTCCCAGAAGGAAAAGCAATGAGTGAACACATAACAGTGCTCTTTCTTGTATGTATTATTTTCAACCCATTTGCAGGAAAATCTATTTTTTTCTGTAAAATGAGCCAAGCATGTCTATGGCACATAAAAAGTACCATTTCTTCGTTTCCCATAATATCATATAGCAAATTGCATAAGAACACGGACTGGAGTTAGACTCCCTGTGTAACCTTACTCTGACAGGTCCCTTCAACTCCTCTGTGCCTCAGTTTCCTCTCTGGTAAAAATGTGCTCATCTCTTGGGCTTGCTATGAGGACAAATTCGTGCACACATTTAAAGTGCTTCGAACAGTGCCTGGCAGCTAGTAAGCATTCCAGAAACGCTTGCCTTTATTGTTGTTCTTGCTGCCATTAACGTGATGAGCCCTAGGAAAGAGTGTATGTTGCTACATTTAGAAAACAAAGAGAAATTGGTTGTCTAAGGTGGAAGAAGTAAGTCAGTTACCAAAAAAAAATAAAAGTGTTTCTTTAATTAATTCAAAAGGTTGGAAGAGGGAATAGACTTTGGCCAGTCAATGGAACAGGAATCCATAGTTAGATGCCCTCCAAGAATCACATGGACAACAATAAACATTTCACAATATTACCTCATTTTGTACTTAAGGCTGCAAGTGTCTTCTGCTATGCTGATAGCAGGAAACTCAGCTTCAACCAGGAGAAAGGGTTTAATTCATTTCAGAGCTGTAGCCAACCCAGGCGGGTACTTCAGATGCAGCGCACCGTGCCACGGTCACCAGACGTCCATGTGGCTGTGTCCAGCCAATGGCCTAATGTGCACCATGATCCAGTGAGATCAGGAATGCTTGCAGCGACTTTCCTTCTCAATGCAGCCCCTTTTACCTTTATTAGGAGTACTCAGCACCTTCTTAGACACGGCTCAGATTCAGGGCCCAGATCTGCCACAGCTCGACCTCAGATATCCCTTTTGATGACTGACATTGTTCATGGCCCAGGGATATGCTTCTCAACATCTTTGTCTAATGTCCTTGAAACAGTAAATGACTGCATCTGAATGCTATGGAAATTCTGGGGTTGCATCCCTGTTGTCAGCACAGACAAAAGCACTACTCCAGAGTATAGGGAAAATTTAAGTGGTGAGATCTTTTGGGAGACAGAAAAGGTAAGTTAATTAATTTGCCAAATCCTTCTATTATTTTCCATTAATTGATTGATTTTTTTTGATACAGGGTCTCACTCTGTCGCCTAGACTGGAGTGCAGTGGCCTGATCTTGGCTCAGTGTAACCTCCACCTCCCAGGCTCAAGCAGTTCTCCTGCCTCAGCCTCCCAAGTGGCTGGGATTACAGGCGCCCACCAACACGCCCAGCTAATTTTTTTATTTTTAGTAGAGACAGGGTTTCACTATGTTGGCCAGGCTGGTCTTGAACTCCTGACCTCAAATGATCCACCCACCTTGGCCTCCCAAAGTGCTGGGATTACAGGCATGAGCCACGGCACCCGGCCCAATCCTTCTATTCTTGTACAACAAAATACTGTTTCTCAGTGTTGCCCAGCATTCATTTCCTGCTTCTCCTCCTGTTTGTGGTTCTGCAGGTACTTGGGAATTAACAAGGTCTTTTCAGTAGTTGCACATAGTAGCTAAGAGACATTTTGCTATGTTAAACAATCATATTATTTTAAATTTATATATAGATCTAGAGGTTGCTTGAGTGATACCAGTGCTTTATGTTGGCAACTAGATAGATATTGAAAGCTAGAACTGTGAATGGTTTTATTAAAACACTTAATAAGTGTAAAATGTTAATACATTAAGTTTT
The DNA here is from genome assembly GCF_000001405.40 of Homo sapiens. Lineage (NCBI taxonomy): Eukaryota > Metazoa > Chordata > Mammalia > Primates > Hominidae > Homo > Homo sapiens. The sequence continues at coordinate 11,867,449 of NC_000006.12, read as the reverse complement.
ATTTTAAAAGTTGATACGTATTAATCATAATTTCTATGTAAACAACTTATTATACATTTTGATTTCATGTAACACAATTTCTATTTTTTCTCTTAGTTTTAATAGAAAACTAACTTTTGGAAGAAAGATAACAATAAAAAATAAATATTTAAATTTTTCAATTTTAGTATTTATTTAAATTTGCTCTTAGATAAAATATATTTATATTTTGTATATATTGCATACAATTACATTTTTAATTCTTTGGTTTATTCTTAACCATAGAACAAACTATATGGAAATCTTTATTATAACAACATTATTGGTGTCTTTGCCGAAATGAAGGCAAGAAAAAAAAATATGGAGTATATACACAATACCTTAAGAACTATGTGTGTCTTTACAGTTCAACCAAACATGGCCAACCTGTTCACAGGACACCAAGACATCTATGATAATAATTAAAGTCTATTTTCTTTGATATTTCTTTTGATATTTTAGAAGATAATTTTTAGTCATCTAAAAACCATAGCTTTGCACATCTTCTTTTATTGTGTCTTTATGAATGTGTATTTCTTATGGTAGGAGGCCAGTACAGTTGATTCTTGTTATTTGTGGTAGTTGCATCCTATAAAATCACAGGGAGCACTGAATTATCAAATACTGAACAATGGCCGTGGGGAAATGCATGGTTAGGTTCCTGGTCACAGCATTTTTATCAACTGATGAGTACATAAACTGTTCCCGTTCAAAGACATCTTATTTAACATATATTGTTGATTTCATTAATGTTGAACTCAGGGCTAACAGCACTATCACTCATGTCTGAGCGATGCCCATTGTATGTTCTCCATAATGCTCATCACAGCCTCCCTGCAGTTAGGGGCACTGTATGGCAGCGATCCCCTACCTTTTTGGCACCAGGGACTGGTTTAATGGAAGACAATTTTTTCACAGACCTGGGGGTAGGAAATGGTTTCAGGATGATTCAAGCACATTACATTTATTGTGCACTTTATTTTTATTATAATTACATTGAAATAGATAATGAAATAATTATATAACTCATCATAACGTAGAATCAGTAGGAGCCATGAGCTTGTTTTCCTGCAACTAGACAGTGCCATCTGGGAGTGATGGGAGACAGTGACAGATCATCAGGCATTAGATTCTCATAAGGAGCACACAACCTACATCCCTCGCATGTGCAGTTCACCATAGGGTTTGTTTTCCTATAAGACTCTAATGCCACCACTGATCTGACAGGAGGCAGAGTTCAGGCAGTAATGCGAGTGATGGGGAGTGACTGTAAGTACAGATGAGGCTCCGCTGACTCACTGGCCACTCACTGCCTGCTGTGAGGCCCAGTTCCTAATGGGCGATGGACCAGTACCCTGCTGTCTGGCACTTCAGCGTGACACTTGGGGCCATTCTAAACAGCAAAACTACCAACAAAAAGCACTAAAACTTGAAACACGTGACACTAAATAGACCATAAAAAGGACACACATTTACCAGATAAGAGCTGAAAGGAGGAGGCAGAGCTTCGCCTTGTTCATTTCAGCTGGGAACATGCGCATTGGCAACTCAAAATCTTTGCCTTCCTTTACAGTCTGTGAATGTCCACAACAGTGACTCAAGAGCTGATTTTGGGACTCCAAATGAATTTTAGCTAGTAGGCAAATTAGCAAATACAGAATGTGAGAATAATGCAAATCAACTGTACATATTTTATATAATAGTGTGTTAACTTGATTTATACTTTTAAATACTTAGTCATATGGTATGTGAACTTCTGTTTGTATTCTTAGGCCCTACAAATGTGAGGAATGGGACTGGAACACAACATTTGTTGCTGAAGTTACATATTTTGGTATGTTTGATAAATTTAGGTAAATATCATAAGAGAGATAATTCATTTTAGAATAGAATTTTTTAAAGACTAATTTAAATGCTAACGAAAATCTGCTGCAGCCAATATTCTAACAGAAAAAGTTAAAAAGATCCAAAAGTGTACTGTGCTGTTTTTCTAAGTGTATCATAAATTTTAATATTAAATGAATGTGTCTCCTAATAGTAGTAAAATAAGAAAGAGTGTTGTACTCAAAGCAGGGTGACACACATTAATTTTTGCATTTCAGGCAGCTGTAAGCAGTTTTGTGCCACTGGAAGAGAGAAAAATGATTCTGGTTGTGAGGAACAGACACAAGGGATTAGGCAAAGGATAACTCAAACCAGGCAACTTCTTTTTTTTTTCTCTCTTTGCATTTTTTTATTTTTATTTTTTTAAATTTTTTTATTATACTTTAAGTTCTAGGATACATGCGCACAACGTGCAGGTCTTTTACATATGTATACATGTGCCATGCTGGTGTGCTGCACCCATTAACTCGTCATTTACATTAGGTATATCTCCTAGTGCTATCCCTCCCCCCTCCCCCCACCCCACAACAGGCCCTGGTGTGTGATGTTCCCCTTCCTGTATTTAAGTGTTCTCATTGTTCAATTCCCACCTATGAGTGAGAACATGCGGTGTTTGGTTTTTTTGTCCTTGTGATAGTTTGCTGAATGAATGATGGTTTCCAGCTTCATCCATGTCCCTACAAAGGACATGAACTCATCATTTTTTATGGCTGCATAGTATTCTATGGTGTATATGTGCCACATTTTCTTAATCCAGTCCATCATTGATGGACATTTGGGTTGGTTCCAAGTCTTTGCTATTGTGAATAGTGCCACAATAAACATACATGTGCATGTGTCTTTATAGCAGCATGATTTATAATCCTTTGGGCATATACCCAGTAATGGGATGGCTGGGTCAAATGGTATTTCTAGTTCTAGATCCCTGAGGAATCACCACACTGTCTTCCACAGGGGTTGAACTAGTTTACAGTACCACCAATAGTGTAAAAATGTTCCTATTTAGGAACTGTCTCCAAAGCTGGCCCTGGAGAGCCCCAATTTCTCAGATGGTAGCAATGAAGAAAGGGGGTTGTAAATCAGCTAGCTGTAGTTTAGAGACTAGAGGTTGTCAGAACCATGGTAACCAATGGATTGTTTGTGTGAGGCAGGGTCGGGGAGTAGATCAATAGAGAAACAGATAGTGTGCATAGGTTGATGACTGGACAGATTTTTTTAAGTCACCTCTAGTCCTATTTGTTTATCTTTACTTTTGTTGCCTGTGCTTTTGGTGTCATACCCAAGAAACGTTTCTGTGTATCAAAGGAAACAATCAGTAGAGTGGAAAGGCAACCTATGGAACGGAGAAAATATTTGCAGATTACATAGTGGATAACGGTTTAATATTCAGAATCTATAAAGAACTCTTACAACTCAACAACAAAAAATCCAAATGAGCAAAGGATTTGAATAGACATTTCTCCAAAGAAGATATACAAATAGACAACAAACATATAAAAAGATGTTCAGTATCACCAATCATTAGAGAATGCAAATCAAAACCACAATGAGATATTGCTTCATATCCATCAGGATCACTACCATAATAAAAAACACACACATAGAAAATAACAAGTGTTGGTGAGAATCTGGGGAAATTGGAAATTTTCTGCACTGTTGGTGGGAAAATAAATGGTGCAGCTGCCATTTAAAACGCTATGGAGATTCCTCAGAAAATTAAAAATAGAACTACTATATGATTTGGCATTTCAATTTCTGGACAAATATCCAAAAGAACTGAAAGCAGAATATTGAAGAAATATTTGCACACCCATGTTCAGAGCACCATTATTCACAATAGCCAAAGTTGGGAACAACCCAAATGTCCATTGCCAGATGAAGGGATAAATGAGAGATGTTCTATACCTACAATGGAATATTATTCAGCCTTAAAAGAGAAGGGAATCTTTTCACATGCTACATTATGGATAAATCTTGAAGACATATGGTAAGTGAAATAGGCTAGTTGCAAAAAGACAAATATTGTATACTCCCATTTATATTAAATATTTAAGGTAGTCAAATTCACAGAAACAGAAAATACAATGGTGGTTGACAGGGGCTGGGAGGAGAGAGAAATGGGGAATTGTTCAATAGGTATAAAGTATCAGTTTTGCAAGATAAAAATGTTCTGGAGATCAGTTTCACAGCAATGTGAATACCCTTAACACTACTAAACTGGATGCTTAAACATGGCTTAGATGGGCTTACATAAAATGTCCAGAAACATTAGCTAGTGCTTATTCTACTCTCTCTAATGGGAAAGCAGTGGATTACCAGAGACTAAACTGTATCTGCCTCTATTTTGGAGAGACTCACATTCAACTCTGGCTCACAAAAAGCTGGGAAAAGTTCATGAGTCCTTTTTTTTAAAAAAAAATTAATGTAAAACTATAGCAAAACAAAAAGCAATCTGAACTGTAGTAACACAGCTGAAACCATCTGCAGCAGTGACAGCAATGGCAGGAGAGGAGGTTTAATTTAGTTGATTTTCTGTGGCTGTTGGTTTGTTCACTGGGAGCTGCACGTTTTTCCTAAGGGACCGAGAAGCTGCTAGAAGTCTGGTTCTCCTGGAAACAACTCAATGCAAACCAAGGATCTGGGGTGTTTCATACCATTCTGAGATCTGAATGGGGGCATACCTTTTTGTTTGTTTGTTTTAGGAAGAAAGTCTTGCTCTGTCACCCAGGCTGGAGTGCAGTGGCCCAATCATAGCTCACTGCAGCCTCGAACTCCTGGACTCAAGTGTTCCTGCCGCCTCGAACTCTCAAAGTGCTGACATTACAGGCCTGAGCCACCGTGCCCGGTCGAGACATTTCATTTTGAAGACATGTTGTACCACCCTCTGGCCGAAAGCACTGGTTCTCCTTTTGAAGCTTGCTAGGGATTACAATGGATTTGACTCAATTCAAAGCTTCTTTTATTTTCCTAAGGATTTCATGAAGCCTTCTCACTAAAGGTACCTGGGATTTTCAGAAAGAAATTGAGTTCCTTAAAGCAATTTTTCCAAATGGAGCAGTGTATTATATAAGACATATAAATTCTGACTGTTGGTACTTACATATTCCAGATTTCCCAGAGAGTGGGGTAGTAAGCCAGATCAAACCCTGGAAATGCTGATGAGAGAGTTTGACCTAGCAGTTAAGGGAAGATTCTTTCTCCATGAAAGACTGTGTCACTGCAGAGGATGTCACGTGGACTGGAATTGGTGCCCTGACACCAGGTTCTGTCATTGATGCCACACTGTTCAATCCTTGTGGGTAGTCGATGAAAGGAACGAAATCGGATAGCACTTATGGAACTATTCACATCACTCCAGAACCAGAATGTTCATACATCAGCTTTCAAACAAACTTAAATCAGACCTCCAGTGATGACCTGATCAGGAAAGTTGTGGAAGTTCTCAAGCCAGGAAACTGATGACCACTTCGTTTTTTTAAGATTTTTGATTTTTTTTATGTTTTAGAGACAGAGTCTCGCTCTGTCGCCCAGGCTGGAGTGCAGTGGCGTGATCTTGGCTCACTGCAACATCTGCCTCCGGGGTTCAAGCGATTCTCCTGCCTCAGCCTCCTGAGTAGCTGAGATTACAGGCACGCGCCACCATACCCAGCTTGTTTTTGTATTTTTAGTAGAGACAGAGTTTTGCTATGTTGGCCAGGCTGGTCTTGAACTCCTGACCTCAATTGATCTGCCTGCCTCGGCCTCCCAAAATGTTGGGATTACAGGCGTGAGCCACCGCGTCCAGCCCACTTTGTTAATCAGAGTTCTACACAGTGCTTTTTTGCCCCAGATGATTGAAGGTTTTAAGTGTCTTGATTGTCAGAGTGTTATGTTCAATGATTATAATTTTGTTTTTACCAGTTTTGTTAAGAAGCAGCAACAGTATCGTTGACTAAGAAAAATGAAGAAAAAATCACAAAAGGAGAACACTCATAGAAAGAGGTGGCTGCTTTTTAGATGTTGAAACCAGGGGCCATGCTTTCCATAACTACTACCTTGTAGTTTCAGAAACCCTAGATATAATGAGAGTGTAATCATTTTTGAATTGTATGTGTTATTATATCAAGTAGTTAGATATATTGCATGAATGCTCTCTTCTGCATTTAGGTATTCTTTGCCATTCTTGCTATGAAATTGAAGTGCATATAGAAAAAACCTTTTACTATATGAAATTTTACAAGGCTTGTGAAAGCAACTCAATTTGGTTTAGGCGCAGTGTAATCTTTCTCCAGGTGTCGTCCAAAATTCCCCACAGACAAGACATTTATCCTCAGCCTAACCATCTGGGACTGTCCAATTAAATTGCTGCCAGAATTTTACATCCAGTTTTATCTATTTTCCAGGATGTATTCTTTACTAATGTTATTGAAACCAATTTCTGCTTCACACAAATATTTTTTTGAAACAGCAAGTAAAGTTTTTCTTCCATGAGTGAAGTCCTTTTGAAAAAAAAAATGGTTAAGGTGGTAATTTTTTTTTTTTTTGAGATGGATTCATGCTCTGTCACTCAGGCTGGAGTGCAATGGTATGATCTCAGCTCACTGCAACCTCTGACTTCCAGGTTCAAGCAATTCTCCTGTCTCAGCCTCCCACGTAGCTGGGATTACAGGTGCCCACCACCATACCCAGCTAATTTTTGTATTTTTAGTAGAGACAAAGTATAACCGTATTGGTCAGGCTGGTCCCGAACTCCTGACCTCAGGTAATCTGCCTGTCTCAGCCTCCCAAAGTACTGGGAATCAGGAAAATTTTATTTCTACCTGTAGAGGGGGACAGGGGCAGGATGTCAATACTTGTTCTTCTGACTGTCTCTGCTTAGTACGTGAATGGTTCAGGTGGGCCATGATTAGTTCTTACTCTTTGTCCTTGTTCCTGAAATTAGTTATCTATTGCTGCATGTCAAATTAGTCAGAAAAGTAGTGACTTACAACAACAACATTTATTATTCTATTTCACAGTTATTATAGGTCAGGAAATCCTGGCTGGCCCATGGCTTAGCTGGGTCCTCTGTCTCAGGTCTTTTATAAAACTGCAATGGAGGTGTACACTGGGGCTGTAGTCATCTCAAAGCTTGGCTAGGGGGGGATTTCCTTCGAATGTTGCCCACGTGGTTGTAGGAAGGATTCAGTTCCTTGATGGCTGTTGGCAGAAGGTATGCTTCATTCTGGACATGCGGGCCTCTCCATCAGGGCAGCTCACTTGAGAGCCAGACTCATCAGAGCAAGTGAGAAGGGCCTAAAAGATGTTGGCAAGACTGAAGTCGTCATGCTTTATAACCTCCTCAAAGTGGCATTCTATCACTTTTGCTATATTTCATTCATTAGAGGCAAGTCACTAGGCACAGCCCACATTCAAGGGGAGAAGATTCTATAGGGAATGAAGACCATTGAGGGGCATTCTAAAGACTGCCTACCACACCAACCTTCACACAGATGTGTTTCATTTGGGCTCACATTTCTATTCAGTTTCTAAGGGGGAAAAGAGATTTGTAAGACATAGGTGAAGTAGGAATGGAATCAAAAGTGTATCCATGGAAATTGGCTATAGATCCAAGAAACATTGAGAGAGGGGAGCTGGACGGGTTCAGGAGTTACTGGGATTCTAGCCATTAAAAAGATGCAGGTCTATGGAGAACCCTGAGGACCTAGAGAGGCAATGCATTGGTGGGAGGAACATGCTAGTGGTTTTCAAATATCTGAAGTTATATACGGAAGAGGAATTATATTTACTTTTTTTGATTCCAGAAAATAAAGTCAGGACCAATGGGTAGCAATTACCCAAGAGATAAATTTCTGCCAGTGGAGCCATGAACCAGTGGAATGGGTACCGCCACGGTGGGTGCCCTCACTGCACGGAAATGTTCAGGAGGAGGCTGGGCAGCTGCAGACAGAGACTGAAGTCTGGAACCCTGTTCCTGCTGCTGCTAATCCCCCTGGCCTTCAGTTCCCCTGCCACAGGTAGGACTCATGCAAGTGAAAAGAGCCCAATGAAATGAGGGGCAAAGGAAAGACCTCGTCATGCCCAAGGCACGGTTGCCCTGACAAGTGGTCTTGGAGTGTGAGGCACAAAGTGAAGCCCTCCACTCTCCCCTCTCTCACCCTCCCCTGACGTAGATGGCTGAGATTGCAAGGCAGATGCAGTGCATGCAATTAACCAGCCCTGCAAAGATCAGAATTGAGAGTACTGCCTGAAGGCCAGAGCCTGTGAGTGTATACATTGCAATGAAAGAAATAGAGATCCAGTTGATTCTTAATCATTGCTGCTTAGTATTCTGGTGCGGAGATGTTTATCTAAACAGTCTAATATCGATGAAGGTACTTAGAACACTGAAACAAAATAAAGCAATATTTTGCATATAGAAAAAATCAAAGAAATGATCAAAGAGAAAAATCCAGATCTTTCATAAGAATTGATTTGTTGTTCTTATTAGGTAATACAGTCATATATTTACATAGTTCCAAAGGTATATGTTGAGTAGTGTCACTCCTGCAGATCCTACCTCCAACTCCTGACTCTATAGGTCTCACTCTTTTTTTATTGTCCTAAATATACATAACATAAAATTTATAAATTTAATATTCTAGGGTATAGTTCAGTGGTATTAAGTACATTCACACTGATGTGCAACCATCATTATCATCCATTCCCAAAACTTTTCATCACCGCAAATAGAAAAGCTGTACCCATGAAACAATAACTTCCATTGCCTCCCCCTCAGCCTTTGGTAACCTCTATTCTACTTTCTGTTTCTATGAATTTGACTGTTCTAGGTACCTCATATAAGTGGAATCACACAATATTTGTCCCTTTGTGTCTAACTTATTTCACTTAGCATGTTTTCAAGATTTATCTGTACTGTACCATGTATCAGAATTTCATTCTTTTTCAAGGCTAAATAATATTCCATTGTGTGTATGTATCATATTTTGTTTAACCATTCATTTATTGACTGACATTGGAGTCCTTTCCATCTTTTGTCTATTGTGAAGAAAGCTGCTGTTAACACTAGTGTATAAATAAATATCTGTTCAAGTCCCTGCTTTCAGTTCTTTTGTGTATATAGGTAGAAGTTGAATTGATGGGCCGTATGCTAATTCTATGTTTAATTTTTCTAGGAACATAGACAGATACTTTTATTAGTTTCTTGTTTACTGTATAGCTTCTTGTGCATAGGTAGCCACTTTTATTAGTTTATTTATGTTTTTAGTGATTCTTTATGCAGAGAGAGCAAAAACAAGCATATGTACAGCATATTGGATTGATATACTATCAGCAACACTTTTCTGAAGATATTTCCATATCAGTACGCAGAGAGCATTCTCATTCTTTTTTCTATCTTTCTTTTGGTAGCTACATAGTATTTCACTCAGTGGCTGTGCCATACTTTAATTAACTATTCATTTACTGAATGACATTGTTTTAATTTTTTATTATAACATAAATGTCACCATAAAAAATATTGCACACATATAATTATGTAAATATGAGGTGTATGTTTAGGATAGTTCCTTAGAATTGGATTACTGAGTCAAAGAGTAAATGTATTTTTACGTTTGGTCAATATTGTTAAATTGCTTTCCATGGGGAATGTGAAAATTTACACTATTTTATTGGCAATGAATGAGTTTCTGTCATGTCACATTTTTATCACAGATTTCAGATTTTTGCTACCTGCTAGATAAAATCTCATATCTTAGCATAATTTTAACGTGCGTTTCTCTTATTATAAATGAGGCTAAGCAACTTTTCAAACACTTAGAGTCTATTTGTCTTATTTTTCTGTGAACTTTCTGTTAATATCCTCTGCCCATTTTTTTTTTCTACTGATTACTGGCTGTTTCCTAAGCACCATCTAGGAATTCCTTATACACTTGAGAGATGAGCTGTTTGTCTGTAAAATAAGTTAGAAATATTTTTCCCAGTTTGCCATTTGTCTTGTGACTAGCTCAGGATGTTTTGCTCTGAAAATATATTGATTTTTATATACTTGAAATGATACCTCTTTTTTGTTTTTTTGATGTCTGGATTTTGAGTCTGCTAGAAAGTGCTAAAGGGTATTGTCTATGTTTTCTTTTGGTATTATGCTTTAATGGAATTTTTAAAAACCACATTTCTTTTCTAGAATTTTTTGAAGTTTATCTGGAATACAGTGAGAGGTAGATATCCTCTTTCATATTATTTCATCACTGCTTGGTTGTCCCCAAAACGTTTGTTAAAAACTCCTCTTTCACCCCACTGACTTGAGCTATCATCTTTACTCTCTGTTAATTTTAGGGACTATTTTGGAGGATGCATGGGCTCTCTATTCTTTTCCTCTTGTCTGTCTATATTCATGACACAGTGCCACACTGTTTAAATTATTGAGGTTTTATAGCATATTTTACAATATATCTAGTATAAATAATAACTGCTCTTCTTTATCAGTTTTCTCTAATTGGTATTTTGTTTGCAACATGCTACGTTTATAAAATAACTTAGGAGAAATTGACATCTTCGTGAGATGGAGTCTTCTAATTTATCACATTAAGTCTTTCCATTTGCTAGTTGTCACTTTTGTATCCATCAGAAATGATTTAAAATTTTCCTCATAAGGGTTATATACACTAGTTAAGATTTTTCATGGTAACTTACCTGAACTGCTATTTTTGGTCATTTTTTACACTTTATTAAGGCTATTGATTTCTGACATGTTCTACTAACTTATTGATCTAATTTATGGCTTGCAAGTGTTTTGGAAAATTCTCTGTGATTTTACACTTACATAAGCATGTTATCTACAAATAGTGATCATTTTTCCTCCTCTTGCCGATTTCATACCTCTAATTTATTTATCTTATCAAATTGCATGTTGAATACTTCCAGGGAAATGCAAGAGTAAGAGTTATAAAGGACATCTGTATCAAGCCCTGTAGTTCTCTACTGTGTGATTATCTATTTCAGACAGTATCTGTTGACTTCTACTAGGAAAAATTAAGACTTTTGCTGAAATACACTATCTTCTTTCTCTATCCCTCTATCCCTCCCTGTTTCCCAGTTTTGGTTAGTCATATTATCATTTATTGCTAACATTTATGACATTTAAATTCAACTAGCCACCTGTAACTGCCTTCCATGTTTTGTCCTTAGATATTTACTCTGAAGGAGTATTGGACTATTATAATTATAGAAACATTATTCATAAAGGAATCCATAAAAGAGTAATATGATCCTGTGCCACAAACTTTTGCTGCTCCAAGGAGAATATCCAATTAGTATCTATTTAATTCTTTTTAACTTTGTTTGCAGCTTCCTCACCTCTTCTTGGTCACACTTCATTGCACATTCTCTTATGTCTCATGTTCTTTTGAAAATTGCTTTATTTTGGTAGTAAGAAAGCCCCCGGGGAGTACTTTCATATGGGATATAGGAGTGATGTACTTTTTGAGTTACTGCATATCAGGAGGTGTTTTAATTTGACCGTGTACTTTATGATTGTTTGGCTGGGTATAGAATGCAAGGACCAAATTCGTTTTTCTTCAAAACTTTGAAGCTTTGCCACCCTATCTACTAGTGTCTTCTGTTGCTAACAGAATGTCTGACACCAGTTTGATTTGCATCCCTTGGCATGTGGCCAATATTCTTCCCTCTCTTAGCAAGTTTTTAGGCTTTTCTGTTTATTCTGCGGAATTCCAAGATTTCATTAACTTGAATCCAGGGGTGAGTTTTTCATCCACCTGCTTAATCCTTAGTAGATATTTTCAGTATTAAGACTTCTAACATTTTCAACTCACAAGAACTCTATAAAATATGATTATTATCTCCAATTTACAAATAAGTTTCAGAGAGATAAAAACAAGTGCCCCAGGTCACTGCCTGGTCTTTCCACTGAATTATGTTTGGAGTAAGGAAATATACCTGAAGGCCATGATTAAGACTATACTTGGTGCAAAATAAAAGCACTTTGATTTTACTTTAGAAAGCTGGATAGTTGCTACCTTGAAATTTTGATGTTCATAACACTAATGATTAATAATAAATTGATAAATGTATATCTGCAAGTTCTACCTATTGTAAAAACCTGAAGAAACACTTGAATAGTTACATCCATATGAGGACTCTCCCTGACTACACTTCAAGCAAAACACTTATTTTATGGTTCCCAAAGGTGAGATGGATGTAGAAACAGTGAAAATAGGATCTGTTGGAGTAGGGCAGTAGTAGCATTTGGGGTTCATCCCCTAATCAAACCCTCCCTGTTGATGGAGGAAAAAGGTAGGCTGACACCACACACACACACACACACACACACACACACACACACACACTATATATATATATATATTGTTTTCAATAAATCATAGTTGATTCTTTTAACGAATTAGAAGAATAAACAGAGAGAGGCAACACTATGTGCTCTCAATATGTCACAGATCACGGAGAACTCATGAGTCATTGTGCTTTTAAGCCAGGGAGTTCCCCGAGGTCATGCTGCAAATCAGTGGTAAATACTGAGTATTTCTTTTTAAGATATCAAATTCTTTTCCCATCATATCAGCTGAGAATAGATTTCTTTGCCTCTTTTCTCTATAGGCAGCCAGGAAATTTGCCATGACTAACAAGGATAGCACCAAATTCTCTTTAACATATTGAGCTATTTAAGCCATAAGTAAAATGACCTAGAATCTCTCACTTCCAACTTGGTGGTCAGTTCCCTGACTAGACATGCACAGAAACGGGGGATGTGTATTCTCAGGCCAACAGGGTTATAATTGCAAAGGCCACTGGTGGTTGCTCTGGGTATATTATGGGCGACATTCTCTATTGGATGGAACAAACTGTAGTGTTGTCATGTATAACCAAGATAGACGCTCTATACCAGTGTCTTTCAGCCTTGGCATTATTGAGATTTGGGGCTGGATAATTCTTTGCTGTGGGGCCTGTCCTGTGCATGGTAGGTTTTGAGCACTCCTGGCTTCTGTCCACTCGATGCTAGTTGTGACAACCACAAATATCTCCAGTCATTGCCCAATGTCCCCTGGGAAGCAAAGTCACCTCTGGTTGGGAACTACTGATCAATGCAAATTCAATAAAAATTTTTTTTTTGTAAATAACTCTGGAAAATACACAACGAGTTTTTAAAAACACATTCTACTTTTCACATCAGAGTCTCTGAAGATTATGTGCTAAAATATAAACATTCCAGGCTCTGGAAAGAGGCAAGGAATCTTTATATAAACACAGTGAACCCTTGGGACCATCAGATAGCAATAATGAAATACACACAATAAGATTCTGTGTGTCGCATGAAAAATAGTTCTCTGAGCAGATTATTAATCTCAGCCTTGTGTTACTTATAGTCACACACAACAATTAATCTCTCTGTGAATGCCTTTAAGCTTTGCAATGTTTAAACATCATCTATATCTATATATATATTCTTATTTGAAAATAGAACAACTATGTGTAAAGATGTTTCAGTCCCCAGGATGCTGTGGTTGGCACTTCCCTAAATTCTATTTTTGCTGAGAGGAGCAGCTGCCTTAAAAAAGAGACATTGAACCTTGGAATATGTTAAACCACTTTTTGCTGCACAGTTTTGCTTGGATAAATTTGCTTAATGGGCATAGCTTGTGCCCTGAAGATAATATTGTGCCAAGTGTTTGGAAGGCAAATGAAGGAATTACTCAGAAATTACTAGGGGGCTGAAATGGAACAACTTCCAGAAACTCATTTGAATTTTTTGACTGTTGCCTAATATTGACATTTCTGACTTCTGTTGATTGTATTGACAACGGAATGTTGCCTAAGTTGCCCATAAAAGACATTTTCTAGCACTAACCCAATCTGTTGTTCCAGGGTGGGGGGTGGGAGGGAAGCTAGCAGGGTGTTGAGGTGGGGAGGGGAAACAAAGTGTAAAAGGTTTCTAGTGAAAGAAGGGGAATCTTTAAGTGAAAATGGCTTATTTATAAGTTCAAAGTGTTTTCCATGCTAAGATTTTTGGAGTGTTAGATCCGTAGACATATATACATAAATGTCTATATATATATATCTATATAAACACACACCTATATATACATCCATATATATATATATATATATATAGACACAGAAATATATATAACTATATTTGATCTCTAACAATATCTAGTCCTGAGAAACAACCATCACAGAGCCCTACGGAAGATGAATCCTGTTTGACTTGTGGGATGATGAGGTTGTAAATAAAATCGTTCTGTTTTTTAGTGTTTTAGTAACACCTCTGTAAGGCCATTTGCTAAATCAGCCGGTCCATTAATTAATTAGCCAGCCAGTTGGCCTCAAAGGATCTGGAGGTCTGCAGTAGGATAAGGCTCCAAGCTTCCTGGAGGAACACGTGTCCAAAAGCTTGAATTGGAAAAAAAATCCACCAACCCAAAAATCCTGACTCCAAGTCTCTTTGCTGGCCAGCACTTCTGAATATTTATAAGACTCTGATTTAGAGGAGGAATAAACAAGGAATACATATACTCCCCAAGAGAGTGGAGAAGACATGGACAGCTCCTTTGTAATAGCAGGACAAAGAAGATGTGAATCAAAGTCATGAAGAAAGCCGGCATAGCTTGAAAGAAGGAAGCTCCTGCCAGAAGTTCAAGGCTTTGATAAAACCCTGAGACGCCATTTTTAGGCCTCTGCCTGGTCTAACCTGTTAGAAAGGGAGAGGGTGCATCCTCTCATTTCTCCCAGCTCAGGAAATAGAAAATTCAAAGGAAAACTTGAAATGAAGTAGCAGCAAAGGTTATGTGGCTTCTTTCAAAGTAGATGTAGCAGCTTCAAATCAGGCCAGACATGTTCCTAAAAATAAAGAAATACGTAAATAAATAAATAGCATTTCCTCAAGAGGCTATCACACCAAGGAAAGCAAATAGAGGAAATCATGTGTTGAGCGTTGGTCCTTTGAACTACGGCAGTATGGGAAGTCTTCAGCTGCCTTCTGCGGGCAATGGAATAGGGAGAACAGCTTATTTCCTCAGCAGGGCGGTGCTGAGGGGGTGGGAGGGGGCTTTCCCTTGACCTATTAACCCTGCTCCCTCCTCTCCTCCACTCTCGTTCTGCACTGCTGCAGCAAAATTGATGCAAGAACCTAACTCTCTGCACACCCCAACTAAATGCATCTGTTGTACATACCTCTAATATTCTCAGTGCGAAATGCTAACTATAAATACCTGAAATAATGGATGTCAAAAATGTTTTTTGAACCAAAATGTGCTATACAAAGTGGAGTTATTAATATCAAGAATATGAAGACATGTGAAGACCTGGTAATGAAAAGTTTCAATCTGCCTCTACCGTTAGTGGAGAAACCGAAAGCTGCAGCCCCATATTGTCTGTCGGCTCATGGCTTTGGCGACTGTTCTCATTCAGCCGTCAGTTGGACAGTCAACCATGTAATCAATTATCCATGTCAGTAAACCTTTTAAAAAAATCTTAGGCCAACAGAAGTCTTTCTGGGTTTGCCGTATTTTCCGCTACTTTTCCACCATTTCAACCCACCACATTGGTTCCCTGTACTATTAAGAGTAGATTCTGTCTTAACTAAGAAAAGAAAAATGCTCAAATCCCCCCTTGAAAAGAGTGCGTGAAAGAAAACAACCTGGATATATTTTGGGACAGAGTATTGCCTATGATATATCCATTTTTGCTGTGTTATAAACTACCCCAAAGCATGGTGGCTGAAAATAACAATCGTTTATTAGTTAATGATTCTGATACAGCAGTTGGAACTGGGCTTAGCAGAGCAGTTCTGCTGGTCTTGCCTGGGCTCAGTCATCCACCTGTGGTCAGTGGGCCGTTCTTCTGGGATCTGCTTGGTTTACGATGTCCTTACTCACGTGTTTGGCTGTTGGTACTGGTAGTTAACTGGAGTGAGACAGCTGGCTGAGTCAAGAGTCTCCAGCTCGCCAGTCTAGGTTCATGGCAGTTTCAGGATTCCCAGGGGCAGCATTAGGGAAAGCCCTGAGACACAAGCACTTTTGAAGCCTCTCCTTCACAAATGAGTCACATTTGCTGATGCCCCATTAATCAAAAAAAAGTCACAGGGCCAAGCCCAGATTCAAGGGGTTGAGAAATAAACTCTTGATGGGAGATGCTACCACACCACATTGCAAAGGAGTGTGCATAAAGGTATGGGAGGAATTTGGGGTTATTTTTACAATTGACCATACAAGGCTACTGGCATATTTTTTACATGGAGGGAAAAATGCACATTAGAAGTTCATTCAGGCTGATCTCCCATCTAAAGATTGAACCAACAACATATTGGTAAATGTCTTTCTAATTATTGATGTGACTATTCTAAGTCTCTTGCTTATAATACAAAATGTGATTGTATCCAGCAACTTGCACCTGTTGGTCTCAGTTCTACCTGTGGGATCAATCACACAGACCAACAAGATCTCACTTCTATGTGACAGCCCTTCTGATATGAAGGACGATTTGCTGTGGCCCCTGGACCATCCCTTCTGCAGGCCGTTCATTCCAGATCCTTCCACTCTTTCTCCTCAGACATGGTTACAGGACTCTTAAATACTTCACTTGCTCTTTTCCACCTTTGATCCACCTAGAAAGTCTGGTACCTACCTGAGTCAAAAGCAATATTCCAAGTGTGATCCATCAGCATGCAGAAAACGGGACTACCATTTCCTTCGTTATCTGTTCTTTACTTCCTTTAGGGAAGCCTTAAATCACACCGTTAACTCATAGTGTGGGGAGCCACAAGTTCCCTCAACCTACATACAGATGCTGTTTGAGAAGATGTTACAGAGCCTTATATTTTGTTCTTGTCAAATTTCATCCGACAACATGCATACCATTTCCTCTTATTATTGAATCCTCTCAGGTTCCTTATATTGGCTTGCAAAGTATTTTGATGACAGATGTTATCTATGAATCCACTCCATGTGCCTCCTGGATCTTCATTCAAGTGTTGGATAAACTATTAAATAGGACGAGGTTGAGAACAAAATTCTAGGACTAACCACTAGAAACCTACTTGCATTTCCCACTAACTGACACCAAGACAACATCCTCTTGCTTTTCTGTGCTCACCTCATTTAGAACAGAGTAGTGTAGACCTTGTCAAATAGACCACTGAAGTCTATGTACATGGAGTCTGTCTCATTTTTTTGATTCAATAGACTAATTAACCTATCCCACAAGAAGTGAGATTCCAATATTCCTGGTGAAAACAACTACTTTTTACTAAATATTCACAAAATGTTATTATCATTATTTCTGAGGTTGACATGAATCTAACCAGTCTGTATTGAAAACCATAGTACCTATCTCCTCTGAATTTCTGGTGTTTTTTCTGTGCCCATAGTTTATTCCCCTAAGAACACTGACAGTGGGTTGAGATGACTTTGCAGTCAGTTTTCTCACCATCTCCTGGGATGTTACTCGTCTTGGCCAGCAGACCTACCGATGGCTCATTAAGAAACTATATGCACCTTTTGCTTAGCTCAGACATCAAACCCTCATACAAATCCATTCCTCCTGCAGCAGCCCGTAGCTCTCCATTCAATGTGCCTTTATTAAACATCTACTATGTCATATGCGCTGAGAGACACTGGGGATAAATATGGACAAAAATTAAGTCTGTGTAGGATGTTGGCACTATGTCTGTGGGTGACACTGACATTTTGTCTATGAGGGATGTTGTCACTGTATACCCCACTGTATGGGTGACGTTGATACCACATTTGGGTGTGATGTTGACATCTTGCTGAAAGATGAGAGAACATGTGTTGTGGGCGTGGGTCTCTGAGAGTATTTGGGGAGTGTTAGTGAGTGTGTGTATGGGAAAATTTGTGTGGGGTACAGGCCAACATACACACTATGATGTGTATGCAGGAGGTTATCTAACCATGGCCCTGGGCCTTGTTGATAGAACTATCACAGAGTTTATATTCTAGTCAGGAAGATAAAGAAGTTAATTGAGGTTTGCAACAAAAACAAACATGATGTTATGGAGATATGTTCAGGGTGCTGTAGAAACTCAGAGGGGCACCTTGTTCAGGGTGGATATCCGGGAAGGCAGATGGCGACTGCAGTAAGATGTGGAGGTAGACACATGAGGTTGGCATATTCAGACAGTTCCTGTGGGAGTTTCAAAGAGTTTGTTTTGGCTGGAGGCCCATTTAGGAATGAGCATGCCTAGAAATAAAGCCAGATAATTGCTTTTTATACCATGCTTTGGAGTTTAGAATTCTATACACAGTGGGGATCTGATGACTAGTTTCAAGCAGGAAAGTGACATAATCAAATTTGTGGGTTAAATAGATCTCTCTAGAAGGAATTTGGAGAATGGTGTAAGGGTGTAAATTATGAGGCTTCTGCAGTAAACTAAGAGACACAAAGCAAAGAACTGAATTAAGGCAGCAGAAGTGGAGATGAAAATGAGATATATTTAGCTATGAAATACATTTAGGAATAGAAAGGTTTGGGTAATTGATTAAATGAGATGGAAGTGAAAAACAAGATTCTAGGATAATTCTCCTTAGTTCTGGCTCTATCAGTTAGATAGATGGCTATACATTTACTGAGACAGGAAATTAATTATTGGTTTTTAAGTTACTATTTCCAGAGTTACACATATTTTATTACATTTGGATTCTTCTGAGAATTTTCTATGTAATTACAATTATTTCCCTATGTTTCTTTTTTTCTTACTGTTTAGCATCTATCATGATGGCATAATCAGATGAAAAAATTCTAGGATACCCCCTCAAGCTCCTGAACTCTTTTCCCTTTTAGTATCCATGCAGATGAGACACTTCAGTGTTTTCCTTAGACTTTTTAAGGCCTGTCTGCCACTTGACCATGTGCTACCCTGGTACTGAGAATTTACTTTTTCCTAAAGTTCCCATTGAATTCACTTCCCTGGTACATTTTTCTAAATCTATTCCAGATCTAGATTACCTCCCCAACTTACTGTCTAGGACATGAAATGATTGAGGGTCAGTCTAGAATTTCTTCAGTACTCTGCATTTTTGCTGAATGAGATTTAGGACCGGTGTCTTGATGCAGAGAGTCCATGATCACTCACTTCTATTTCTTGCTTTTGTGCCAATTTTATGGTTTATTTCAAAAGCACATTATCCATTCCCTACATCTGGCCAAGAAGTCTGTAGGATATAATCCTACCATGTATGTATCTGAGGGAGACATTGAATCATACTTGCAGAATTTCAGGCCTAGAAGGGACTAGAGAGTCCACCTAATGCTTGTTCTGCAGGTAAGGAAACCAAAGTCCGGGGAGATTATGTGATTTGTGTAAGATTGTACTCCTGGTGAGTTAGGGACAGAGCCAGGGCTAGAACATATGTCTCCTGGTTTTAGCCAGAATTTGTAATTTTTCCCTTGGTAGGAAGTCAGACACTGGGACTTAAGTAAAGAATTTAGAATATTCCACTTGCAGCCCTGCAGGAGCCCAGTGACGCACAGAGGGGATAACACGGAAGTATGTGATCCTGAGAGGCCGTGAAGATGTCCTTATATAGTAATAGGAGACCCTCGGGTATGGATGGAGTTTCAATTACATCCTTCAGCTGAAAGAGCCCACAGCTCTGGGAATATTTGACCCAGCAGCTTCTTTACTTCCCAGGGGCTACCTTGACCACTGGACAGGTCTCTGAAAATTTACAGCAGCATCAAGGAGCTGTGTTCACTTGCTGTGTCACTAACTATGTACATTTCCTTTTGCACTGCCTTATCTAGTTCAGTAGTAAACCTAAAAGAAAGTGTCATCTAACAAAACTCAAGTTGTTCTTCTTGCTCGTCTCTAAACTCAAACCACCCCTTTGTGGTCTGGTCTATTTCAGGTGAATTCCAGAAAGTCCCTTTTCACAACTGCTCCTTGGAAGCAGTGCACCAATTATGTCTTGTAGTAAGAGAAAATAAAATAATAAAATAAAGAAAAAGAGCTCCAACAGAGAGAGGGGCATGTTTCTCTGAGAGGGGTCACATAGATTCTGTGCCTGGAAAAGCTCTTCATAGAAGCCCCTGAGCCATGAGCAGATGGGGTGACATATAAGTTGATTCATGTACCACAGTCTGGCCTGTTGTATCAGTCCATTTTCATACGGCTATGAAGAAATACCCAAGACTGGGTAATTTATAAAGAAAAAGAGGTTTAATGGACTTACAGTTCCACATGGCTGGGGAGGCCTCACAATCATGGCAGAAGGCAAAGGAGGAGCAGAGGCACGTCCTACATGGCAGCAGGCAAGACAGCATGTACAGGGAATCTCCCCTTTATATGACCATTGAGTCTTGTGAGACTTATTCACTATCATGAGAACAGCATGGGAAAACCTTCCCCCATGATTCAATTATCTCCCACTGGGTCCCTCCCATGACATGTGGGGATTATGGGAGCTATAATTCAAGATAAGATTTGGGTGGGGACACAGTCAAACCATATCACCTGTCATTGTCATTGATTGTATTCTGAGAGCTAACAAATGAGCCATCACCCCTAATTAGAATGCAAGGGTGGCTTCCAGGAACTGTTCCTAAAAAGAAAGAATGCCATCTGAAAGAAGATGCCCACCTACCTGAAGGGATGTTGTAAGTCACTAAGGATGTAGTAGCTGTGAGTTGGCCGTGCCACTGGGGGAGATCTACCATCAGGGCCCTGGAGGGCCAAGATGCAAAGTGCAGATGGAGCCCTGGAATATGGTGCCAGGGACCTTACAGGTGGTCATGTGTTTTAAAACGCTCTCCCTCTGGGACATTGGAGGAATCTTGTAGGATCAGGAAACACTGTGCTTGTAACAGCATTTCTATGTACTATCTGCAGAACAGATAGCAGCCACTGAGTTTCCACACTTTACATTTTTCCTCCCTAGGGCAACTGAAACAGAATAGGAGTGACTCTCCAATACGAGGAATGATCTACGTTTGGGGAGGGAGGAATGTACCTCTACTACTCTCCCTCAACCCAACGAATGTTAACCTAGAATGTTCTTGCTGTATGTGGTTTGGTATTAGAGGCTGTAGTCTGAAATTAAGAGTGAAAGGTTGGAGCCAGGATCCTCAAATCTTATTTTCTGTTCTGTTGGTGGCTCATTGCCTAACCAAAGATTCTTTGACAAGGACAGCCACAGACCTGGGGGACAGATGCCAGAAGTCGTGAGCCACATTGATAAAGGGTTGCAATACAACACAGTTTGTTTTTCAAGTATATATGTAATAATAGGACAATACCATCTACATTGGTCATTTAGTGCTTCAAGCTTGCTTTACTCTCTGCAGAGCTACGGGTCGCTGCAGGTTTTCCGGGAGGCTGCCCCAGATCTGTGCCCACATAGCCTGAACCTGTGAAAGGATTGCATTCCTTGGTTCTTTCTCAACAGAACTGGTCCTGCCAGTCAAATTCTTTGGGGTTGTGAGGACAATGCACCTACAGATCATATAACTGTAAAATGAAAATTGATTTTAAGTGTTTTTGGAAATGTGGGGTAGGAGGATTGTTTTTCATCTCACCATCACCTTGGATTTTAGACCTTCTTGTCCTGGAATCTGTGACATATTTTTGATTCTACAAGAAAAAAATCTGTGTCCCTTAGGAAATGAACTCAAGCTCAAGTGACTAGACCTTTTTGTGTTCACCTAGCACTTACACTTTCCAAAAGAAATAATCAGATAAGATGACCTCATTGCCAAGCACTTCCACTGGCTAGTCAATGCCTGCCTATAGGGGGTAGATCTCTCTCTAGCCCAGTGGCATTGGGTAGGATAGCAGTTCTTTTCCAATTCCAATCTGCTATGTCCAGAGTAAACATGATAACTGATTTTACCTCCCAAACTAAGCAGCCTGTGCAAGTCACAGGGTCTACTGAGGAAGATCAAAGGATTTAGGGCCGTTTCCTTAAAGATGGGATTGTGCCATTGCAGGCACATATGTCTTCATGAACTCCATCATAAGTGCATGCAACGCCCACATCCCATGTGACTACCTCCGTCCACTAAAGCGTAGTCACCATTTCAAATCACCTATGCTGGGCTCCAGAAGGTATTTTCATTACAGTTGATCATCTCCAATTCCCAAATTCAAAATCCAAAATGCTCCCAAATCTGAAACTGTTTGAGCCCCAAAATGATGCCACAAGTGGAAAATTCCACACCTGACCTCATGTGACAGATCAAAGTCAAAATGCAGTCAAAGCTTTGTTTTATGCACAAAATTATTAAACATATTGTATAAAATTACCTTCAGGCTATCTAAAGCATAAGTGAATTTTGCTTGGGTCCTATCCCCAAGATATCTCACTACATATATGGAAATATTCCCAAATCTGAAAAAAAATCAAAATCCAAAATATGTCTGGTTCTAAGCATTTCAGATGAGGAATACTCAACCTGTACTGCAAAGTTTAGTCTCACTACACATTCTGAAAATGTTACCAAAGGACTTACCTGTCAGGGCAGCTCTCTGAAGTTCATAAGAGAAAGTTTCAGATGTCCTTATGATTCCCCAGATGAAAAGGATGACAGAAGTGCAAATTATTGGCATTAGATAGGAAAGAAGATCATTGGAAGCTCAAGTGCAGTTTAGGGGGAAATTAAAATAAGAACAAAGGAAAGGAAATTAAATTCAGGACTGTTCTTTAAAAGGTTGGGTTCTGATTTTGATCTTGAAAAAAAAATGTCTTCGAGGAAAGGCTGTTTCCAACTCTGTCCATCTTCTAACCTTTCATAATGTCTTTCATCTGTTGCATGGTGGGTGGACGGAGGGAGTTGATGGTGACCAAGTCATCCTAGGACTTAACATTTAAAAATAACAGCTAGTTTATATAAAATGATGGGAGCTGTACACATCTGTCACAAATTTCTAGGTCAGTGCAAACAAAGAGTAAAGAAATATAACTTGCACAAGTAAAACAAAAAGGCAGCAACAAATGTAGCATTTTTATTCTAATATTACTCTTTTGCTATTTATCTCTTTGGTAAAGATATAATTTTCATTTTCGATAGAAAAATATAAACTGTGTAGGCATTGGAAGTTGTGATATTGACATCATGGAATTCTTTGAAGATTCAATGTATGGCTCTCCTTTTTTCCTCTTCTTTTCAGCCCTTCTGGGGAATTTGGCCATAATGACAGTTACATTTACTGCAGCAACAATTTAGATTCAAGATAGGTTTGAGGGAATGTTATAGCTTATGCCCTCATTAATAAAAATTGAAACCATTTTCCAAAAAATATTTGTCTATAATAAATGAAAAAAAAAATTTAATGTTAACCTTAGTCTTAACAAATGGAAGAAAATTACAGTTTTCTTTAGTGGTTTAGAGCACAGGATTATGAGGCTGAAGACCAGTTCCCTACCTCAGTTTTCAGTCAAGAAGATAATATCTTCTGCCTTGAGTCTCTCAAAGTTACAAAAAAACTAAACAAAGTAAAGGATGTGATGATTCTCTGGAGAGTTTTAATTGATGAACAGTAGAAAAGAAGGCACAGCCATAATGCTCATGTGTCTGTATGACTAATCAGTAGTGAAGAAAACCATTCTTGGTGGTGGAATGGCTTCAAGTAGTGCCAGCTTCCGACAAAGTGAGAAGTAATGGGATATTATTTGGAATACTTGCAGGTTTCCTACTGAGAGCCACTTTTCTCCATTCTGCCCACCAAACACAAATATAGCAGCATCCCCCACTCACCCTGATTCCCCTCTCCATGTATCCCCTTAAAACTTTCTTATTTCATGGCTCTAAAAAGCAGTTTGAGATGCTGTGATAATGTGATAATGTTTTTCTTTGTCATTCTCTCCCGGGTCTTTTTGCATTTATACATAGAACAATGTCTTAACCCATAGAAATTATTTTAATGGCAGAGATCTTGGACTCCTGATTATTTATTCATTACTGTATACTTTAATCTTTTGATCATGGATTCAACAAATATTTATTGAGCATTGACACTGCCAGAAAATGTACTAAAACTGGAGATGCAGCCGAGAAAGAGAGGAGCATAGTCTGGGCTCTCATGAAACTGACTTGGAAATAGATACTCAAATAGGGCAAAATAATTCATGAGGTGGGGGCTTTGACAGAGCGGCCTGGGATGCAGTGAGAAGCCTCCAGAGAGGGTGAAGATCTTGGGGACAGATGGCTTGGAAGATGCTGGGGGCATTTTTTTTAATTTTTAATTTTTTATTATAGTTTAAATTCTAGGACACATGTGCAGAACCTGCAGGTTTGTTACATGTTACGTGCCATGGTGGTTTGCTGCACCCATCAACCCATCATCTACCTTAGATATTTCTCCTAATGCTATCCCTACCCTAGCTCCCCACTCCCTGACAGGCCCTGGTATGTGATATTCCCCTCCCTGCGTCCATATGTTCTCATTGTTCAACTCCCACTTATGAGTGAGAACATGCAGTGTTTGGTTTTCTGTTCCTGTGTTAGTTTGCTGAGAATGATGGTTTCCAGCTTCATCCATGTCCCTGCAAAGGAAATGAACTCATCCTTCTTTATGGCTGCATAGTATTCCATGGTGTATATGTGCTACATTTTCTTTTTCCAGTCTATCACTGATGGGCATTTGGGTCGGTTCTAAGTCTTTGCCATTGTGAACAGTGCTGCAATAAACATATGTGTACATGTGTCTTTAGAGTAGAATGATTTATAATTCTTTGGGTATATACCCAGCAATGGGATTGCCGGGTCTGATGGTATTTCTGGTTCTAGATCCTTGAAGAATCGTCACACTGTCTTCCACAATGGTTGAACTAATTTACACTCCCTAGAACAGTGTAAAAGCATTCCTATTTCTCCACATCCTCTCCAGCATCTGTTGTTTCCTGACTTTTTAATGATCACCATTCTAACTGGTGTGAGATGGTATCTCATTGTGGTTTTAATTTGCATTTTTCTAATGACCAGTGATGATGACCTTTTTTTTCATATGTTTGTTGGCCACATAAATGTCTTTTGAGGAGTGTCTGTTCATATCCTTCACCCACTTTTTGATGGGGTTGTTTGATTTTTCTTATAAATTTGTTTAAGTTTCTTGTAGATTGTGGATACTAGCCCTTTGTCAGATGGACAGATTGAAAAATTTACTCCCATTCTGTAGGTTGCCTGTTCACTCTGATGATAGTTTCTTTTGCTGTGCAGAAGCTATTTAGTTTAATTAGGTCCCATTTGTCAATTTTGGCTTCTGTTGCCCTTGCTTTTGGTGTTTTAGTCATGAAGTCTTTGCCCATGCCTATGTCCTGAATGGTATTACCTAGGTTTTCTTCCAGGGATTTTATGGTTTATGTCTTACATTTAAGTCTTTAATCCGCCTTGAGTTAATTTTTGTATAAGGTATAAGGAAGGGGTCCACTTTCAGTTTTCTGCATATGGCTAGCCAGTTTTCCCAACACCATTTATTAAATAGGGAATCCTTTCCTCATTGCTTGTTTTGGTCAGGTTTGTCAAAGATCAGATGGTTGTAGATGTGGGCATTATTTCTGAGGCCTCTGTTCTGTTCCATTGTTCTATATATCTGTTTTGGTACCAGTACCAAGCTGTTTTGGTTACTGTAGCCTTGTAGTATAGTTTGAAGTCAGGTAGCGTGATGCCTCCACTTTGTTCTTTTTGCTTAGGATTGTCTTTGCTATACGAGCTCTTTTCTGGTTCCATATGAAATTTAAAGTAGTTTTTTCTAACTCTGTGAAGAAAGTTAATGGTAGCTTGATAGGGATAGCATTGAATCTATAAATTACTTTAGGCAGTATGGCCATTTTCATGATATTGTTTCTTCCTATCCATGAGTACGAAATGTTTTTCCATTTGTTTGTGCCCTCTCTTACTTTGTTGAGCAGTGGTTTGTAGTTCTCTTTGAAGAGGTCCTTCACATCCCTTGTAAGTTTGATTCCTAGGTATTTTATTCTCTTTGTAGCAATTGTGAATGGGAATTCACTCATGATTTGGCTCTCTGTTTGTCTGTTATTGGTGTATAGCAATGCTTATGATTTTTGCACATTGATTTTCTATCCTGAGACTTTGCTGAAGTTGCTTATCAGCTTAAGGAGATTTTGGGCTGAGAAGATGGAGTTTTCTAAATATACAATCACGTCATCTGCAAACAGAAACAATTTGACTTCCTCTCTACCTATTTGAATACCCTTTATTTCCTTCTCTTGCCTGATTGCCCTGGCCAGAATTTCCAATACTATGCAGAATACGAGTGGTGAGAGGGGGCATCCTTGTCTTGTGCCAGTTTTTAAAGGGACTACTTCCAGCTTTTGCCCACTCAGTATGATATTGGCTTTGGGTTTGTCATAAATAGCTCTTATTATTTTGAGATATGTTCCATCAATTCCTAGTTTATTGACAGTTTTTAGCATGAAGGGGTGTTGAATTTTATCAAAGGCCTTTTCTGCATCTATTGAGATAATCATATGGTTTTTGTGATTGGTTCTGTTTATGTGATGGATTACATTTATTGATTTGCATATGTTGAACCAGCCTTGCACCCTAGGGATGAAGCTGACTTGATTGTAGTGGATAAGCTTTTTGATGTGCTGCTGGATTTGGTTTGCCAGTATTTTATTGAGGATTTTCACATCTATGTTCATCAGGGACGTTGGCTTGAAATTTTCTTTTTTTTGTTGTGTCTCTGCCAGGTTTTGGTATCAGCATGTTGCTGGCCTCATAAAATGAGTTAGGGAGGAGTGCCTCTTTTTCTATTGTGTGGAATACTTTCAGAAGGAATGGTACCAGCTCCTCTTTGTACCTCTGGTAGAATTCGGCTGTGAATCTGTCTGGTCCTGGACTTTTTTTGGTTGGTAGGCTATTAATTACTGCCTCAATTTCAGAACTTGTTATTGGTCTATTCAGGGATTCGACTTCTTCCTGGTTTAGTCTTGGGAGCGTGTATGTGTCCAGCAATTTATCCATTTCTTCTAGATTTTGTAGTTTATTTGCATAGAGGTGTTTATAGTATTCTCTGATGGTAGTTTGTATTTCTGTGGGATCAGTGGTGATATCCCCTTTATCATTTTTTATTGTGTCTATTTGATTCTTCTCTCTTTTCTTCTAGTCTGGCTAGCTGTCTATTTATTTTGTTAATTTTTTCAAAAAAACAGCTCCTGGATTCATTAATTTTTGAAGGGTTTTTCATGTCTCTATCTCCTTCACTTCTGCTCTGATCTTAGTTATTTCTTGTCTTCTGAAACTTTTGAATTTGTTTGCCTAGTTCTTTTAATTGTGATGTTAGAGTGTTGATTTTAGATCTTTCCCACTTTCTCCCGTGGGCACTTAGTGCTATAAATTTCCCTCTAAACTCTGCTTTAGCTGTGTCCCAGAGATTCTGGTATGTTGTGTCTTTGTTCTCATTGATTTCAAAGGACTTATTTATTTCTGCCTTAATTTCGTTATTTACCCAGTAGTCATTCAGGAGCAGGTTGTTCAATTTCCATGTAGTTGTGTGGTTTTAGTGAGTTTCTTAATCCTGAGTTCTAATTTGATTGCACTGTGGTCTGAGAGACTGTTTTTATAATTTCCATTCTTTTGCATTTGCTGAGGAGTGTTTTACTTCCAATTATGTGGTCAGTCTTAAAATAAGTGTGATGTGGTGCTGAGAAAAATGTATATTCTGTTGATTTGGGGTGGAGAGTTCTGTAGATGCCTATTAGGTCCGCTTAGTCCAGAGCTGAGTTCAAGTCCTGAATGTCCTTTTTAATTTTCTGTCTCGTTGATCTGCCTAATATTGACAGTGGGGTGTTAAAGTCTCCCACTATTATTGTGTGGGAGTCTAAGTCTCTTTGTAGGTCTCGAAGAACTTGGTTTATGAATCTGGGTGCTCCTGTATTGGATGCCTATATATTTAGGATAGTTACCTCTTCTTGTTGCATTGATTCCTTTTCCATTATGTAATGCTTTTCTTTGTCTTTTTGAACTTTGTTGGTTTAAAGTCTCTTTTATCAGAGACTAGGATTGCAACCCATGCTTTTTTTTTTTTTTTTTTTTGCTTTCCATTTGCTTGGTAAATATTCCTCTATCCCTTTATTTTGAGCCTGTATATGTCTTTGCATGTGAAATGTGTCTCCTGAATACAGCACACCAACAGGTCTTGACTCTTTATCCAATTTGCCAGTCTGTGTCTTTTAATTGGGGCATTTAAGCCATTTATATTTAAGGATAATATTGTTATGTGTGAATTTGATCCTGTCATTATGAGGCTAGCTGGTTATTTTGCCCATTAGTTAATGCAGTTTCTTCATAGTGTTGATGGTCTTTACAATTTGTCATGTTTTGGCAGTGGCTAGTACCGGTTTTTCCTTTCCATATTTAGTGCTTCCTTCAGGAGCTCTTGTAAGGCAGGCCTGGTGGTGACAAAATCTCTCAACATTTGCTTGTCTGTAAAGGACTTTATTTCTCCTTTGCTTATGAAGCTTAGTTTGGCTGGATATGAAATTGTGGATTGACAATTCTTTTCTTTAAGAATGTTGAATATTGGCCCCCAATCTCTTCTGGCTTGTAGGATTTCTACAGAGAAATCTGCTGTTAGTCTGATGGGCTTCCTTTTGTGGGTAACCTGACCTTTCTCTCTGGCTGCCCTTAACATTTTTTCCTTCATTTCAACCCTGGTGAATCTGAAGATTATGTGTCTTGGGGTTGTTCTTCTCAAGGAGTATCTTTGTGGTGTTCTCTGTATTTCCTGAATTTGAATGTTGGCCTGTCTTGCTAGATTGGGGAAGTTCTCCTGGATAATATCCTGAAGAGTGTTTTCCAACTTGGTTGCATTCTCCCCATCACTTTCAGGTACACTAGGCAAACGTAGATTTGGTCTTTTCACATATTTCCATATTTCTTGGAGGCTTTGTTCATTCCTTTTCATTCTTTTTTCTCTAATATTGTCTTCATGCTTTATTTCATTAAGTTGATCTTCAATCTCTTATATCTTTTTTTCTGCTTGATCGATTTGGCTATTGATACTTGTGTATGCTTCACAAAGTTCTCATGCTATGTTTTTCAGCTCCATCAGGTCAGGTATGTTCCTCTCTAAACTGGCTATTCTAGTTAGCAATTTGTATAACCTTTTCTCAAGGTTCTTAGCTTCCTTGCATTGGGTTAGAACATGCTCCTTTAGCTTGGAGGAGTTGGTTATTATCCACCTTCTGAAGCCTACTTCTGTCAATTCATCAAACTCACTCTCCGTCCAGTTTTGTTCCCTTGCTGGCGAGGAGTTGTGATCCTTTGGAGGAGAAGAGGCATTCTGGTTTTTGGAATTTTCAGCCTTTTTGCGCTAGTTTCACCCCATCTTTGTGGATTTATCTACCTTTGGTCTTTGATGCTGGTGACATTCGGATGGGGTCTCTGAGTGGACGTCCTTTTTGTTCATGTTGATACTATTCCTTTCTGTTTGTTAGTTTTCCTTCTAACAGTCAGAGCCCTCTGCTGCAGGTCCGCTTGAGTGTGCTGGAGGTCCACTCCAGACCCTGTTTGCCTGGAAATCACTGGCAGAGGCTGCAGAACAGCAAAGACTGCTGCCTGTTCCTTCCTGTAGAAGCTTCATCCCAGGGGGCACCTGCCAGATGCCAGCCCAAGCTCTCCTGTATGAGGTGTCTGTCAACCCCTGCTGGGAGGTGTCTACCAGTCAGGAGGCACAGGGGTCAGGGACCCACTTGAGGAGGCAGTCTGTCCCTTAGCAGAGCTTGAGCACTGTGCTGGGAGATCTGCTGCTCTATTCAGAGCTGGCAGGCAGAAACATTTAAGTCTGCTGAAGCTGCGCCCACAGCTGCCCCTCCCACCAGGTGCTCTGTCCCAGGGAGATGGGAGTTTTATCTATATGTCCCTGATTGGGGCTGCTGCCTTTCTTTCAGAGATGCCCTGCCCAGAGAGGAGGAATCTAGAGGGGCAGTCTGGCTACAGTGACTTTGGCTTTGCCAAGCTGTGGTGTGCTCCACCCTGTTCGAACATCCCAGCAGCTTTGTTCACACTGTGAGAGGAAAACTGCCTACTCAACCCTCAGTAATGGCGGACACCCCTCCCCCACCAAGCTCGAGCATCCCAGGTCAACTTCAGACTGCTGTGCTGGCAGCAAGAATTTCAAGCCAGTGGATCTTAACTTTCTGGGCTCCATGAGCGTGGGATCTGCTGAGCTAGACCACTTGGCTCCCTGGTTTCAGCCCCCTTTCCAGGGGAGTGAACAGTTCTGTCTTGCTGGTGTTGCAGGGACCACTGAGGTATGAAAAAAATTCATGCAGCTAGCTCAGTGTCCACCCAAACAGCTGCCCAGTTTTGTGCTTGAAACGCAGGACCCTGGTGGTGCAGGCACCCAGGGGAATCTCCTGATCTGTGGGTTATGAAGACCATGGGAAAAGCATAGTATCTGGGCTCAAATGCACCATTCCTCACAGCACAGGCCCTCATGGTTTCCCCTGGCTAGGGGAGGGAGTTCCCCAACCCCTTGCACTTCCTGGGTGAGGTAACACCCCACCCCCCTTTGGCTTGCCCTCCATGGGCTGCACCCACTGTCTAACAAGT
Source organism: Homo sapiens (assembly GCF_000001405.40). Lineage (NCBI taxonomy): Eukaryota > Metazoa > Chordata > Mammalia > Primates > Hominidae > Homo > Homo sapiens. The sequence continues at coordinate 11,837,005 of NC_000006.12, read as the reverse complement.
CCCAATGAGATGAACCAGGTACCTCAGTTGGAAATGCAGAAATCACCTGCCTTCTGTATTAATCTTGCTGGGAGCTTCAGACCAGAGCTGTTCCTATTTGACCATTTTGCCCAGGTCCCCTCAGCTGTGCAGGTTTTGATGCCACCACTTAGGAGACTGATGTCTTCCAGCTTCCAATATTCCAATATGGCTGGTTCAGTTAAGAAGAAACTGATGGGGGACCAGGCACAGTGCCTTGCGCCTGTAATTCCAGCACTTTGGGAGGCCGAGGTGAGTGGATCACTTGAGGTCAGGAGTTTGAGACCAGCCTGACCAACATGGTGCAACCCCATCTGTACTAAAAATACAAAAAATTAGCCTGGCGTGGTGGAGAGAGCCTGTAGTCCCAGCTACTTGGGAGGCTGAGGCTGGAGAATCACTTGAACCTGGGAGGCAGGGGTTGCAGTGAGCTGAAATTGTGCCACTGCACTCCAGCCTGGGTGACATAGTGAGACTCCATCAAAAAACAAACAAACAAACAAAAAAAAAAACTGATGGGGAAAAGAGAGAAAGTGTTGAATAGAGAGTGGAATAACCTAGACTGAGCCTCAGTCCTGCCTTAACCAGCTATATTTCTCTGGAGAATTCACTCAACTTTTCTGAGCTTCACCTTCCTCCAGAAGAGGAGAATTTGGTGGTCTTTATCAATTTAAAAATGTATATCAACATGCTTTCTAAGGCCTATATTAACCCTTTCAAGCTGAGGGATTATATTCTAAATCTAAGGTCCAAAAATCCAGTTTTGCTTGGTTCTGTCCAAAGGATGTCTCATTGCCTATCTATTTTTCAGTGAAACAATTTCTTTATCACTGACCATGGCTGCTCCTGTAACTTTCTTGAAAATCTGATGCAAGGATCCTGGTCAGATGAATGATAAACATGTGTTCTGTGTTGTCACCCACAGGCAATGAAGAATGGGCTGATAACCAACCTGAGATGCTCAATAGACATCTTATTGTATCAGGATCAGAATCCTTAGATCCATTGCACATGGCAAATTTAATGAACCTCGCCAAGGGGGTAATGTGAAAACATTAAAGGAAATAATAATTCTAAATCAGATAAGTATACTTTGTCATGCAAACTTTCCTTGTTATCAAGCTTTAAAAAACATAACCCCAATAGGGCCAAATTACAATGACAACTTCTCTCAGGCATATAATTATAAAAAATTAAAGGCACTTAAGAGGTCATTTAATCCAAACCCTACACTTCAGAGACGAGGAAATTGAGGCTCAGATGGGATAAACTATCTGGCCAAGAACTCACAGTTGCTTGGAGACAGACTAAGACCAGAATTCTGATTTTCTGATTCCAAGGCTCATGGGCTCTCTGTTTCACCTTGCTATCTACCCTAGATTTTAGCTGTGTTCTTTAAGCTGTACATTTCCAGAATGACCCTTGCCACTCTTGGGGTCTGTTCTGGTTCCTCACCTACAACCAAGATTACCACCACAGCTTCACTGACTTTGTGAGTGCCTCTCTTGCTTGGAGGGCCTCTGTTCCTAGCCTCTGGAAATCCCATCTCCTTTGATCTCTGTTTTCTTCATGGCCTAGCATTGTCCCTGCATCCAACCAAATGCAATCTGGGTTTGACACAAAGGAGGATTGTTGAAGAACCAGTTAGGAGACTTGTTTCCTCACCACACATTATTTTTGTGTTTTCATGCATCTCTCGGGATTTGAATGTCATTGCTGTGGAACAAATGCTACAGCCATCAGGGAAGCCACCAAGGCCAGAGACAGACCTCAGTGCCAATTGGATAACGCCTTTAGTGGAATTGGGGTCTGAGCCAAACCCTTTCATGTTTCCTGCTCTTAAAAGGGCATGCTGAAAGACAGGAGGGAAAGGTGGCCAGTCTAGCAACCCCAGGCTTCAGGACTGGCTTTCTCCTCTTGCCAGTGAGCAGTCAAACTACAAGAAGAAAAAAATTCATGCTGCCCCACCCCTTTTTTTAATGTCCAAAGAACATCAATTTTAATTTAAATGATTTCTGGAAAATGAATTGTCATTTTTTCTGAGAGAAAGGAAACACGGTCATGTTTGCATTCTCTTAAGAAGATGCAACAGCAAATACTTTTGGTACATACATTACAGGAAAAAAGTCAATAAAAAACAAGAAGAGCAAGATAAATGGATGATCATATTGATCTAAATAGAACAAAGACAGTTCCAAACCCATAATCTCTAAAAATCATTACACACACACAAGCATGCACCTATCTTTAGGAGTTTTTACCAATCGATAAGCAAAAACATGTATTAAATACCTATGTGTATATAAAAGGCACTGAGCTAGCAGCTTTTTTCTGATACCTGAATTCCAAAATTCAAGGGGTCTTATTACTAGCTAAAGGTAGTACTACCTAAGCAAGAAAAGAAAGAAGGCAGTATTGTATCCCATGCATACTCTGATACAATGTTCTTCAAGACCAGGTCACCCACCTGTTGGTTATTTTAAGAAGGGGAATTCTGGCGGCAGCTGGGACTCTGCCATAAATAACTTAGACGTCAACGTTCTAACACTGAAACCTTCTTGTCACATCTTTCTAAATGAATTTTGGAGGTATCTCAGGCAACTGGTCTGTCCAGAGCCATAGAAAACGGCAGAATCATGCTTATGTTCATGACCATTTTCTTTTTATCTGCCCTCTCCACCTGCAAGCTGGCTGTGGGCTTCGAAGAACTTTCCTTAGTGCGAAGGGCTGAAGAACAGCAACAGCACACAATCATCATTGTTACTATCTCAGGCTATTGACATCAACTCAGTCAAATAATTAAACCCACTCATATTTCAAAAGCTTCTAGTAACTATCATGGCCATTAATTTTAACCTCAAAATTCCACTCTCGGCATTTGAAGTTCTGCCAGAGTTCCTGATTACTTTGAATATTTGTCTCCTCCAAATCTCGTGTTGAAATTTGATCCCTTGTTGGAGGTGGGGCCTGGTGAGAGGTGTTTGGGTCACGGGGGCGGATCCCTCATGAATGGCTTGGTATCCACTTGTGGTAATGCAGGAGTTTTTGCTCTATTTGCTTACCTGAGAGTTGGTTGTTTGAAAGGGCCTGGTACCTCTCCCCTCTCTCTCTTGCTCCCTTCCTCTTGCTAAGTGATGCCTGCTCTCCTTCATCTTCTGTTGTGAATGGAAGCTCCCTGCAGCCCTCACCAGAAGCAGATGTTGCCACCTTGCTTTTTGTACAGCCTGCAGAACTGTGAGCCAACTAAGCCTCTTTTCTTTATAAATGACCCATTCCTCAGGTGTTCCTTTATAGCAAATGCACTGAGATAACGCCCAACCTCCCTGTGACTATGCTTCTGACCCACTGCAGCTTCACTGGCTCCTTCCTCACTCTGATTCTTCACCTGATTCACTGCTTCCTATTCTAATGGCTTTCCTGTTACCAAGAAGAGCTCAGTATCCACCTGTCTCCCCAAAGGCCTCCCTCTCATGCGAACTGAAAAAATCTTGGCTGGGCGCAGTGGCTCATGCCTGTAATCCCAGTACTTTGGGAGGCTGAGGCAGGCAGATCATGAGGTCAAGAGATTGAGACCATCCTGGCCGACATGGTGAAACCCTGTCTCTACCAAAAATACAAAAATTAGACAGGTGTGGTGGCACACACCTACAGTCCCAGCTACTCGGGAGGCTGAGGCAGGAGAATCGCTTGAACCTGGGAGGCAGAGGTTGCAGTGAGTCAAGATTGTGCCACTGCACTCCAGCCTGGTGACAGAGCAAGACTCCGTCTCAAAAAAAAAAAAAAAAACTTGACCTAAGAAGTGTACTATACATCCATGTGACACATATGTCTATGTGTGCAAGTGTTTTCTACATCATGGTCATTTGTAGGGAGGCTCACCTGCCCAGAGGTAAATAAAATTCAAGTTATTCAAAACCATGACATTAATGAATTCAACCTTAAAACTAGCATTAAAAATAACAACAAACACTCATGTTCAAGTGGGAACTTGAGCCACTGTCTTAATGTTTCTTCCAAAACTCAGCAAAAACAGGTTCTTTAAAGTTGATTTGAATATCTTTTGTTTATTTTGTTTATCGCTTGATTGGGACTAGAACATTTTTGTTGCTGTGCCCTTTTTTTCTCAGTATGTGTCAATGCACAACAATTCAGTTGGCTTTGACTGGCACTGGCATTTTCTCCCAATATGGGCATTTGCAAATAGGAAGAACAAACCGCATACATGTATATGTACATACCTTTACATATAAGCTCAAGCACAACTAAAACCCTACTTTTGTGAATGAGATTTAATCACTATATATCACATCTTAAATAAGAATTGTATAATCTTTAAAACATCCTAGTACTGAGTCTCATACTTAGAAGGTATTCAATAAATGTTTGCTGTAGCAACCACAGAAGATTTAGCTCACAAAAAGTCTAAGTGATTATCAATATAGCAGACCTTAGTGGGAACCCTTACTTATTATTTGATTTCCAAATATGAAATACATTCAACATCACCTTTGTTTTCTTCCATGGATTTCAAGAAGGTCTTAAGGGCTTTGGAGTTTCAGAGCCCCCCTTTTCTTAAATTGCTTTTCTTCTATGCTGTATATTAACCTATGGTTTTAAAAGATACTAAGCATATCCAAATAATCATCTGATTTTATAAGAAGAGAGTTGTGTTCATGGAAGTGTTTTTCCTACTACCAGTGAAAAGGAAGAATTTTCTGATAATTGTCTGGCTATCTGAGGGTCAGTGGAACAGATTAACTGACATCGACATCTCACATGTCCTCAACAGGAATACTTCTGAGCTGGTGTCCTTCACCCTTTCTAGGAACAAACAACTAATTTTCAAAGCTAGCTTTAAGTAATATTGATACGGAAGTGCTGGGAAGAGAAGAGTGTGGTCGCTATAAATGACAGGGAAGTGGGGGAAGAGAAGTGCTGGGTAGAGGAAGGGCGTGGCCCCTGGCTAGGGCTCCACCCCCACAGACCTAGGTGAGGACAGGCACTTCTGCCTTCGCGCCCAAATGTTGCATTTTCCAAGACCACACTGACCTGCCACGCCCCCATCCTGGGCCTATAAACACCCGAGACCCTAGCAAGACAGAGACAGAAGCAGCTGGAGGTCCAAAAGAGCACATCGCGGCGGAGGAACGCACTGGCCCCAGCTCTGGCGTGCCGATAGGCCACTGACCAGCAGAACGACGTGGAGTTTGCCGGGGCAGTCTGAGGAGAGCCAGGGCCGGTGGCGGACTCCAGGGGAAAACCATCTCCCTTCTGGCTCCCCCATCTGCTGAGAACTCCCCGATAAAACCTGTGCACTCACTCCATTCTTCAAGCCCACGTGTGATCCGATTCTTCCAGTCCACTAAGGCTAGAAACCTCAGGATACAGAAATTCCTCTGTCCTTGCGACAAGGTAGAGGGTCTAATTGACCTAACACAAGCTGCCTGTGGACGGCAAACTAAAAGAGCACCCTGCAACATACTCCCACTGGGGCTTCAGGAGCTGTAAACATTCACCCCTAGACACAGGCCGTGGGGTCGGAGCCCCACAGCCTGCCCGTCTGTGTGGTCCCCTAGAGATTTGAGCAGCGGGGCGCTGAAGACGCCAGCCACTCCCCTGTCGTATACCCTGCTAGTCGGACAAGGGAATCTTTCCTGTTTCAGTATTTAACAATGATAGTCATTCTTTGGGCAGAAGTTTTGATGCTGCTTTGCTTCAACTAGTTTAAGTAGATCTATTCCTTGGTTATCTAAAGAACCTGGTACTCCTCTCTCTTGCTCTCTTCCTCTTGCTGTGTGATGCCTACTCTCCTTCGCCTTCTGTGAGTGGAAGCTCCCGGCAGCCCTCACCAGAAGCAGATGCTGGTGCCATGCTCCTTGTACAGCCTGCGGAACTGTGAGCCAAATAAGCCTCTTTTCTTTATAAATAAGCCTCTTCCTTTATAAAGATCAAGATTCATGAAGCAATAAGAGTAATTTATGTTAGTTTAGTTTGAACATTTATGACGCAGCCAACTAAGAATCTCATGAAAATATATATCATGGAACTGAGCACCATGTTCCTGGTCTTGTTCTTCCTAATGTTTCTTCCAGACACAGACACATATGTTGTTGGGTTTCTGCAGGAGTCACTTGCAGAAGAGGAGAGCTCCCAAGGAGGGACTGAGCATCAAAGGTGGGTAAAATGTAACTACCACTGCCAGATCGGCTGCATGCATTTAACAGCTCCTAGTAGCGCTGTGAGAGTCATGTAGGCACTGCAAATCCAAAGAAGGCTCTGGGGACTCTGACCACATCCCTCTGTGACATTCTGCCACATGTAGGCGCTGGGTAGGCAGGCACATCTCCAGTCAAGGACCTCCATGAAGAAGAGGTCCTTGTTCCTTGCATCTTCCAGGACAAGAGATCTCTAGTGGGACCAGAGCAAAAGGATGCTCAATTCCATATAATTAAAAAGTCAATTGAATGAAATATCTGGATCACTAACTCACACTCCTATACCATGGATTCTACTGGATGATACAAGGACAGTGTGTTGTCTGTCTTGTCCAGAACGGTATTCCTAGCAGGCAGTCCAATGCCTGCTGCAGAGTAGGCATTCAGGAAATAGATTTCAACTGAGCAAATTGCATGAGCTGTTGGGGTAGGGGTAAAGAAACTGCGGTATCTTGTTTCCACAACTGCTGACGTTGGTTCACAGCTGTCAGGTGCTTCAGCTCCAAGGTCAGCCCTGAAGGGCAGCTGGTAAAGGCAGTAGCATTCACCCAGCCTTAGGCCTAATCTTTAATTATTCCCTTTAAGCCTGTTGCTGAATGGAGCTCCTGAAAGCACTTCTGCAGACATCAGTGGTGTTAGAATTGCCCAGTGCTTTCTGCTAAGGCTAGCGTTTCTTGGCTAACACTGTACTTGGTGTAACTTGGCTTGGATGCATGGTTGATCCCTAATGTGATAACATGGTTAAATGGTGGCTCACGTTTTCTTTTCACCTTAACAAGACTGAGGACTCTTGGGAGTTTACTATTCTGTAAGTTTGCTAAAGTTCGTTGATTTTTCTTCTCTCTTCCTGACCACATTAATTTGGAATAGAAGATATTTGCTTATTCACAACACTCAAGTCAGACTAAATATTCACTTTTGAGTGTGTATGTGAGTTTACTATCAGTCAAAATTCTTAAAAAATGAAAAAAAGTCAAAATGTGCCCTTACCGTAAGTATGTAGACAAATAATTTATTAGAGAAATACCATGGAAAATCTATCTAGTAGTTAAACCAGAGAATAAAAATCAGAAAATTATTTACTTCATTTGCACATACTAAAGTAGCTGGTTATCTTTGACAAATCAGTTAACCTCTCTGCAACTTGGATTTGTTACAGAGGTGATCAACAGTTTAATCACTCTGAGTTAGTAGACTGAGAATACCTTCTGCCCACCTGAGGGCTTTCCTTTGAAGAGATGCCATTGTTTTATATCCCAACTTATCGGGTTTCTATGTTTGATTGGTGGGAAGACAGTGCGTTGCACAATGCCTGGTCCATAACAGATGCTCAAGGAATATTTGTTGACTCAATTAACGAATGATTGAGGTGCTCAATATGCCTGAGAAATTTTCCTTTATTCTAGACAGGGTTTCGGAGTTTGTTCTATTCAAGCAAACAAGCTTGCTCTGAATTCTGTGGGTAGGAAAAAATGTCAGCCCGACAGCTTTTTCTCCCCCCCTCCTCCGTGAATGAGAAAAACAAAACAAAACAAAACATTTGAAGTAGTATAAAGAGGCAAATATAGACACCAAACACTATTAAATACAATTCAATTGTTCTTAATTGAGCTCAATCAAATTGTTTCTCACTTTGAAAGCTGGAGTATACGTCTTCCTTGCTTGGCAGGCACTTTTAACACTTCAGAAGAAATTACTGGATTGACAGAAAGAAGCTCAGAGAAACGCATATGGAAATTAAATAATTGAACACCATCATATCCAATTGATTTAAAGAAACTAAGTTCCTATTCTTTCTCCTGCTAGGCTAATTTACTATTCCAATTGACTGCAATGTGGCATTCAGCAAATATCAAATAGCTGCATGTGTCAGGGGCTTCCTTGTCCTCCACATTGACCTTGGATTAACCCTTCACCTCTTACTCCACAGCTAATTAAATCCTGTGGCAGTTCGGTGAGACATTCTTCGCTGAAATATTTAGTGAGGGTCTTAAATTCCTTCATACTTGTCGCAACCACTATGTCTACCTCCCACAGTACATCTGCTTTAGTGTCACAATATTTTGTCAAAAAACTGCAGGACTGCCATGGTAACATCATAAACCCGTCTCTCGCCCAATTCTTCAAGCAGTTTATAAGAATCCAGCTGTAAAAATTGGCCATAGGCTGCATGAACTGGTTGTTTTATGTGTGGTAGTTAACCTCTTTTCCCTTTTTTCTTCACCACTCCCACTCCAAAACCACTCATTTAAAAATATTTACAAAGTCATTTAACATTTATTTAGCCGTCAAATAGGAAATTGGAGTTGAGCTCAAGTTGACTTTTCTTACTATTATACTGCTTTCTGAGGTCAAAATTGTCACCTTTTTTTTTTCTCTTTGCCATCTGGGTGAGTTCAGCTGAAATCAGAAGTTCATTTTTATCCCTCTTTCATTTCCTCTTTTGTGGAAGTCTTCACTTCTCTAAGTGCCTTTTAAATTCAGTGGTAGCCCCATATACAGAAAACATACATAGGTATTTGTGGGAAAAGGGACAGAGATGGGAGGGACAAATCATTCTAGCACAGGAATCACCTTCATTTTCCTGGATCACATTTAACTGCACTTGAAATAGGTGAAACTGTTCCTTTTACCTTTTTCTTCAAAGAAAAGTCACATAAGGTATCTGTATCCCCATCATTCTTACTGGTTAGAGGTTTTCCCTTTGCACTGATTTGGGCACATATCTGGAAATCCCATTTGTCCCTATCCTAAGGCTTTAGATAAGGTGGGGCGAGGTTCCCTCACACATACTGGGTGAAGCTAACACAAGGGAACTCTGTCACCTAAGGAGAGGGAGATTTCTAAGTTTTGTGGAGTTTTTTTTTTTGGTTTTTGTTTTACCTTCTTTTACTTTTTATTTTTTTATAGAGATGGGGTCTTGCTGTGTTGCCCGGACTGGTCTTGAATTCCTAGACTCAAGTGATCTTCCTGCCTTGGCCTCCCAAAAAGCTGGGATGACAGGCATGAGCCACGGATCCTGGCCCGTTTTGTTCTTAAGTAAAATTAAACTTGTTAGACAAAAAGAAAGAAACAAAAAATCCAAGAAATCAACCAATATCTCCTGGAACTATTTTGAGTTAGAGCCATGGAAAGAATATAAATACATCAGCGCGGACGAGGCTTCAAGATGCCCGACAAGAGGCGCCCAGCACTGGCCTCCTCCACAAAGAACCAAAACCGCGAGTAGAAAAACGCACGTTGAATAGAGCCTGTCGGAGACCACACTAGAATTCAGCAGGAAAGTGACAAGGGACCCTGGGGGCAGGGAAGGAGAGGGCAGCAAAGCAGCCAGGCAGCCAGGATTGGCTGGGGGAGAAGGTAAGTGAGAGGCCCCAGTGGTCCACACAAGCACAGCGGACTCCTACATTCCTAGGCGCAGAAGAGCCCCTTGGCCTTTGGGGGCTCTGAGACTAGTACAGACAGCCATCTGCAGTAGGCATTGTTCCAAAGATGGGTTCACACTGGGTCCTACACACCCCTGGGACCCAAGCAGTGGCAGTGCAGTGGCATTTGGGGAGCCCATCCCCCGCCAGATTACACCCTGCCTTGGGGCCTAACCACCCCCGCACCCCACATGCCTGGAGTACCACTGACATACCCCATATCCACCCGGGGGTGCTACAGAACTACCACAGGATCCTGCAATCCCACCACTGGGTATTTATCGAAAGGAAAGGAAATCAGTACATCAAAGGGATACCTACACCTTGTTTCTTTCTTTCTTTTGTTAGACGGGTCTCACTGTGTCGCCCAGGCTGGCGTTCAGTGGTGCGATCACAGCTCACTGCAGCCTTGAACTCCTGGGCTCAAGTGATCCTCCCTTGTCAGCCTCCTGAGTAGCTGGGGCCACAGAGGCATGTCACTACAACTGGCTATTTTTTTTGTTTTTTGTAGAGATGGAATCTGTCTACGTTGCCCTGGCTGATCTCAAGCATTATCATTATCTATGTTGCTCTGGTCCTGGCCTCAAGCAATCCTCCTGCCTCAGCCCCCAAAGTGCTGGGATTACAGGTATGAGCCTGGCAGAATTTGGATATTTACTAAAGCGCTATTCACAATAGCCAAGATACAGAATCAACCTAAGTGTCCACAGACAGATGAGTGGATAAAGAAAATGTGGTAAATATACACAATGGAGTACCATTCAGCCACAAAAAAAGAATGAAATCCTGTCATTTGCAGCAACATGGGTAGAACCAGAGGTCATTATGTTAAGTGAAATAAACCCGGCACAGAAAGACAAATATCCAATATTCTCACTCACATGTGGGAGCTCTAGAAGTTGATCTCATGGAGGTAGAAATTAGAATGATAGTTACCAGAGGCTGGCAAGGGTGTGTTTTAGGGGGATGAAGAGAGTTTGGTTAATAGATTAAAAATGTATATATATATATATATATATATATTTAGATAAAAGAATAAGTTTCAGTGTTCCATAGCATAATAGGGTGGCTGTAGTTAACAATAATTTATTGTAGATTTCAAAATAGCTAGAAGAGAAGATTTGAAATTGTTACCAACACAAATAAATGATAATGTTTGAGGTGATGGAAATCTTAAATACTGTGATTTGATCGTTACACATTGTATACGTATATAAAAAAGTCACATGTACCCCCCCAAATAGGTACAAATATCATGCATTATTTAAAAATTATGTAAGTCCAGTTATGTTCATTTATATAACATTTAAGAGGTTAGATGTCCTTGAGCACAATTTAGTTGGAGGGTTTGATACAATAATCACTTAGGCTAATTTACCTCAGGACGAACATGGAATGCATATAATTAAATAGTTCCTGGTGAAAGAAGCTTGAATGGCCAGAATTGCATATCTAAATAAAAAATGGAGTTAGGCTGCCTTGGGACAAACATGGGCAGGGTCTGTTCTGAGGTTGGCCAGCTAGCTAAGGCTTATGTCCAAGACGCACAGGAGGGATTCTGATTGTAATGAACAGGGCTGGTCCAGGCACAATCATGACATTGATGAGGTTGAGGAGCTTGTATCTGGGACCCTCCCATCCTCCATTTTCCCCGCCTCTCCACTCACTAGCACTATACTTGATTCCCGGTGTAGCCACTTAACACACCCATTCTTTATGAATGATTGAATTTTACCCCTTTCATTTTTTTTTGAAAAATTTGTATAAATTTAAGAGGTACAAGTGTAGCTTTGTTCCATGGATATATTGTAGTGAAGTCTGAGTTTTTAGTGTCACCATCACTTGAGTGAGGTATACTATATCCATTAAGCAATTTCTCATCCCTCACTCCCCCTCCATCCTCACACCCTTCCCGGATTTTCATTTCTAATTGGTAATGGTAATGCACCATCTCAGGATCTGTATAATTACATCTAACATCAAGAGAGTTATAATATCTTGAAACTGTTCACCATAGCCTAGCAAATGAAATAACTTAGCTCAGACTACAAAAATTCCCCATTGGCAGTGTGTGGCAGCAGCATCAGAGTCCTTAGTCATACAATGACAGAGCCACAGAATAGTTGCAATGGAGATTGCAGTCAACTTTAAAAAACTGTTTTCACGTACTCTGCAGCTTGGAATTTCCCCTCTTGCCCCACCACCTTCATGTCAAGAACAGCTACACATGTGGGTCAGCTCTGTAAAGGGCCACACAAATTCATCTGCGATTAGTCTGGAAATTCCCTCCTACGAATGTATTGGTACGATGGAATAACAGGTGATTTTATGGGGTAAATATGTTTCAATACAACAATCATTCTGAATAGGAAAAAAAAAACCCTCTGTTTTTCTCAATGTCTGTTATATTCCAGACAGGGGAAAATGCATAGAAAGGTCAAGACAACATTTCTAGTCTCCACATAAAAAACAAGAGTTTTCTACGTAGGCTGAAGCCATCTGGATGGATGTGAACACCTAGAAAGAGAGTGGAATGGAAGAAGTTAAGGTTAAAATCTTGAAAAACTTCAATTTGATTTAATTGTCAGAAAGTGAAAGATAATTTTGAAAAAGGGTCTCCTTTTCCAGAGGAATAAGAGACAAATTGGGAACATGTCAGGGTTGCAGAAATCCAGAGAAAAGAGGTTTCAAGAAAGTAAGTGTGGATAGTACTCTCGAATTACCCTGTAAGGTCAAGTAAAACAAGCAAAGGAAAAAAGTAAGTAGCATGTTGTGAACCGAATTGTTTCCCATAAAATTCATACACTGAAGCCCTAACTCCCGATGTGACTGTATTTGGAGATGGGGCTTTTTTTGTTTTGTTTTTTTTTTTTGAGACGGAGTCTCGCTCTGTTGCCAGGCTGGAGTGTAGTGGCATGATCTCCGCCCACTGCAACTTCCACCTCCCGGGTTCAAGCAATTCCCCTGCCTCAGCCTCCCGAGTAGCTGGGACTACAGGCTTGCGCCACCAAGCCTGGCTAATGTTTATATTTTTAGTAGAGACGGGGTTTCACCATGTTGGCCAGGCTGGTCTCAAACTCCTGACCTCATGACCCACCTGCCTTGGCCTCCCAAGGTGCTGGAAATCAGGACACACACAGACAGAGGGAACACCATGTAAAGACACAAACCAAGAACAGAGGTCTCAGAAGAAACCAACCCTGCTGACACCTTGATCTGGGACTTCCAGCCTGCAGAACTGCGAGACAGTACATTTCTGTTGTTCAACCCCCCCCAATCTCTGGTGCTTTGTTATGGCAGCCCAAGCTAATGCATATAAACAACAAGGAGCCCATAGATGACCTACGATAAAGTTGTTTTGGGGAAGGATGAAGGTAGAAAACTGGATTAGAGCATGCTGAGGACTAACTGAAGGTAAGTAAATAAATGGAGTCAGGCTGTATAGACAATTCTTTCAAGAAATTTGAATGTAAAGAGAGAGTGATAAACCGGGAGAAATGGGGTTTTAAGATTCTAAGGATTAAACTTGAAAAATAGCAAATAATGAATAAGATCATCTATGCAAAAATTACCATAAAAAGGTAAAATATTTCTCAGATTAAAGAGCAGAATTACAATTCAATCATCATGCCAGTAATAAAAATAACAACAAATCAGTAATAGTATCATTTATTGAACAACTAATATAAGCCAACTTGTGAGCTTCATGCTTTATGTATTTTAACTAATTCTCTTTACAGCATAATGCCTGGAGCCTAGTAGGTATTCAATACATATTTACCGAACAAATAATGAATGACCGTACAACATAGATATTATTATTGTTCCCAAGTTATATACAGGGAAATTAAGATTCCTGTAGTTTAAGTAACTTATTCCAGGTTTATATGGCTCCAAAGTGATGATACATCTAAAGTAAAGATGTGTCAAAAGGAAAATGCCCTTAGTGAAAGTTAAAAGAGATTACAAAGGGTAAAGCTAAGAAGACTTTCATATTGCCATCCAGGACAAAGGGTACCGGGTCAGCAACACCATTGACCTTGGAGAGTCAAACCGTCTCCTGGGAAAAGGTACAGAAAGCTTTAATCTAGTGATTAGGATTATTCTAACACTAATTCCCCCCTAGGAGCCAGGGGCCAGATTGTAGATCCTGTAGGCCCCTGTAAGAACTCAGCAAGATGATAAATGACTAGTTTTCTTCCCCTACCCTGTGCTAATTTGGACTCTCTAAGAGGGAGACACGCAGATTTAGAGGGGAAAGAGATTTGGGAGAAAGGCAGGGAGAAAGGCAGAGGAGGCTGAGGGCCATTAGAACTCAGAGGTGAGACAAGATGGAAGGAGGGAAGGGTGGTTGGGAACAAGTGTCTTAGACTGCAGTGTGGTTCTAAGAAAGTACAGTTGACCCTCCATATCCACGGATTATGCATGTGCAGATTCAACCGACCACGGATTGAATATTTGGAAAAAAATACAAATATAAAACAATACAGTGAAACAACTATTTACATAGCATTTACATTGTATTAGGTATTTTAAGTAATCTAGAGATTATTTAAGGTATACAGGATGATGTACAGGATGAGGTTATATGCAAATACTATGCCATTGTAGAGAAGAGATTTGAGTATCCTTGGATTCTCAAAGGGCAGTCCTTGGACCATGATTCCCATCACAGGAAGTCCTTGTCTTTCAGGAAAGAGCCTGCCTTATGTCCCTGCCACACTTAGCCATTGGCCAGGGGCAGCCCAGGGGAAGCGTAGCCTTGGGCTTTGGGATGTGGGCTGCCTACCGTCGCACATCCTTGGCAGAATGTGGTCGTGTATTTCAAAGTGCAATCGTGGAGCTCTGGGTCAATTATGCCACCTACAGCCAAGAACTGCAAGTCCCATTATCACAGCCACCTCATATCCAGTGTTCATTTTTAGCTTCCTACTCAATAAAATTATTTTATATAAATGAGTGAATGGAAATAAAAGTACTAAGGAAATCTTAAAAAAAATGGTCCTTTTCAGTTTCTAGTTAACTAAGTAAATATTTGTAATACTACTCAGTTAAATAAGTCAACCAACAGCAACACACTATCAGGCAACTTAGAATTGGTACGAGATGAATCTTTGAAATAAATGTTTAAAATATTATCAGTGTCTCATAAAATGTCAATTTTATATCTTCTAATAGACAAGACAAGACAAAAAAAAAGGCAAAGAAAACACTCTTCTCCTTCCCTATGATCTCTTTAGTTACTAGCCTTGGATCAGCCCAGACCCCAGCTTGCCATCTCTTCTTTCATGCTCTAGCCTTCTTCCCATACTAGCTCCTGTCAAAGTTGCTCCTTGGATTCCCACTTAGCATTTATCTCAAAAGGTCAAGCACAAAGCCGCTTGCTCTCCATGTATTTGATGCAACAACCATGTGCTGAGAACTTGCTTTCTGCAGGATGGGGATTTGATGAGCCGATGATTGATGATTTTCTAAAGGAAATAAGCAAAGGAGAACAACTGGCCTGCTTTTCTCAAGGCTGTGTGCGAAGAATGTTGCCATATAATGTGCTCATTTGTAAAAGCAGTAAACTGAGTCACAGAATAAAGAATGATTTTATTTTTACACTTCCTTGAGAATCGATACCAAAGACAGAAATGTCACATAAAATTTTCAAATCCTGCACCATACTGGAACAACTACCTTGAGATTGCACTACCTTTACAAGCTGAGCACATCAATGCCTGAGAATCATTCATTGTGTGTCTGAGAGAATAAATAACTGTACTTTTGCAACTGAATATTGATTCTTCAGCATTCTGTCATGTTAGACACACCATTTCAGTTGAATAAAGCAATTTTTTTTTTCAGTATTGCAAGGAGAAAAAATAATAGCTGTAGGACAGAATTTCATGCCTCCTAATATATCGGTTGCATAAATGGGAGTTTCAGTTTTAAATTTACCAGTAACCATGTCTCTCTTACTTTTGTTACTCTCCCCAGTAATATCCATGCATTTAGGATTTAAAGTGGGGGAGAAGGAGAATCACAGATCAAGGGAAAACTGAGTTTTTCTTTTCCAGGCTGAAGGAAACCAGAAATTAATAATTATATAATGGATTTTGTAATTGTCCTTTTTCTCATAAGGACTGACACCTCAGCCGCCTTGTCCATGGGGCAGTAGACCAGTTTACCAACATCTTCTGTTTGTAAGACAAAACAAAAACTCTGTAGAACCTCATTCACCTTACTTAAAGTATTCATTTACTGGGAGCTTTATATTAATATATTCCATGCTAGGAAGTTGAGCAATTCAAGGGGTAACAGAACTTTTTCAGGCTTCAAAAAGACGACTTCCCATTTTGGAGCTTCAAGATCATAGCTGTGGAAAGGTCCCAAAGAAAAGTCACCTGCTCTTCTGTTCAATAGAGAAACAGTGCAGTCCTTAGAGGCAACAGGAGAATGGCCGCTCTATGAAACTACTACACGTGTGTATATATATATATGAATACAAAAATATCTGTTGATTTTATTTCATATAATAAACTACTCTATTTTTATGTGTGGTCTTTGATCAAAAATTCCAGTTCCCATCCTTGTTTAGTTTGGCTGCACTCACTGGAATTCTATGGCAGAATCCTGTACAGATGAAAATTCATATAATCTTTATCCTAGTTTACAGAGACTTCAGAAAGTGAGATTACTGAATATCTGTTTCAGAAAGTTCTTTCCCTATTTTTTTCTTTGCAGGAGTTCTTCCTCAATAATTTTATCTTTTTGTTCATTTGCTTTAAAAACTATGTATACGCGAGGATTTTGATTAAGTAGTTTCTCTACCAACTTTCCAGGCTGCAATAATTGTCGTTGTCTTACACTTTGTTCAAAGATCTTATATGCAAAATGTAAATATCTGAAAGGCTTTCCTTTTACTTATTTATGAAATAAATTCGTTGAGTCTGTGTTGGTCAAGGCCCACACTGGTGCCGTGGAGAATGCTTGCAGTGGACATATACGTGGAGCTGCGCAGGGCATTCCTCTGTGCTTGTTTCAGCTTGGCTCTGGCTCTCTTCCCTTAGGTTTGCTTAATCATCACGCTGTTAGCAAAGTAGACAAAGAAGTAATGGCAGAAGGGCTACCTCTGTCTCTTTCTTTGCTCTTTTTTTTGGGGGATGGGGGCAGGTGGGAAGCAGGGAAACTTTTCCCGGAAGTCCTCCAGAGTTTTCTTGTATTTTATCATTGACCAGGATTTTGTTCTAATACCATTGCAAAAACAATCACAAATAAAAAGATGGGATTACAATGTTTGGTTTAGACTAACAGATTTAGATGGAGTAGATGTTAGGAAATCAACCACAGTAGCTACAATAGGCATGCAAAGAAATCATAAAGTGCAAGATAGAAAGTGATAAACTGTAAAAAAAGACACAACTAAAGTGCTTTGGGTATTAAACCTGGAGAAATTATTTCCAACTAAGGATTAAGAAATAACTGACTTGTGAATTGAAGCCTGGATTTAGGCACAAAAAGATGAAAAAGGGTACTTGAATTTGCCAATCAAGAAATGATAATAAGAAAAAATGAGGCATCTATCAGGATACAAATCACATTAGGCTGAAATAAAATGTATAGGAAGATGTATCAGTTAGCTCTTGCTGTGATAACAAATAACTCCCACATCTCAGAGGCTTGTAACCACATCCATTTATATCTTGCTCTCAGATCTACTTCTTGTCTGCAGCTCTGCCTGACCCTGTTCCAAGTGTCTTTTCACTCCTGGACCCAGGCTGAAGGAACAGCCCCTATCTGCCATATACTTCTCTTGTGGCAGACAGTAGAAACCAAACCTATGGCGAAGTTTCTAGGGGCGCAGTGATCGGAGGTATTCCCTGTGAGATGAAGCCAAATTTGTGATATCTTGCACCTTCTACCACCAAGAAAGAGGCATAACAGCTGGTGAGTTTTTGAGCTCTGGAGGCAGTGGATGTCATAGTTAGGTGTGCTGTTCTCGTCTATGTTCCAAGTTATCTTTGACCCACACAATTTTGCAAAGAGTTAAGAACAAGAGAAAGATCTGCAGCCTGGGCATGGTGACTCATGCCTGTAATCCCAGCACACTGGGATGCTGAGGAAGGCAGATCACTTGGGGTCAGGGGTTTGAGACCAGCCTGGCCAACATGGTGATACCCCATCTCTACTAAAAATACAAAAATTAGCCGGGCATGTTGTCACTCACCTGCAATCCCAGCTACTCGGGAAGCTGAGGGAGAATTGCTTTAACCCAGGGGGTGGAGGTTGCCCTGAAACTAGATCATGCCACTGCACTCCAGCCTAGATGACAGAGCAAGACTCCATAAAAAAAAAAAAAAGAAAGAAAGAAATCTGCAGAGCAGATCCAAGCTAGTACTTAAGCTGCTCTACAACTTGAGAACTTAGGTCTACCAGATCAGATGGTGGATGGCGTGTCTGAGATGGCCTCTGGAGTCTCCAGAAGCCTCAAAAGGAGAAGCACTATGCAGGCCTTTAGACTTTGGAGAGCTATGCCCTCTTCTGCCATTAACTCTTCTCACTGGGAGAAACAGCCTATGTCTCCCCAGACTTAGAGCTCATCTTTGTATGGGCGGTTCCTAGAGAGATGCCCAGAGAGTTATAGGTGTTCAGCTAATGGTGGTTAGATGTATGAGCCTATGGAGTGAGTGGCAGAGAGGCTTCTGCTTGGCTTTGAGAGGCTTTGATCCAGGCTTCTTTATCTGTATGTTCGTGCTGGTTACAGGCAGTCCCATGGCCCACAGTCCACCACTGCAAACAAAGGAAAGACTTTCTAGGAATGATCATCGCACAGGTCATGCCTTTTCAGTCATTAAGCCTCTTCCACAGGTAGCAGGAAGCTGGGAGGGTGTGGCTGTGACCAAGGAAGAACCTGGCAGATCGAATTTAAATCCAAGATGCCGGCCCTTGGATCGGCCTGACCCAAATTCACTGTGGCTCTGTTATTCTGACTAATTTTCCCTGGAGTGTAGGCTAATCTGTGAAAAGAGAAAACATACACTTGCCTATCATGGGAAACAGGTGTTTGCACTGTGAATCGCTCCACACCATCACACCGAGGCACGTTCTCAAAAGGGGGCGGATGTGATGTTTTTTGACATCTGATAATGTTGAGGATATGACCAGACTTGCTCCCTTTCAGCTGAGAAACAATCCCCTCTCCTCTGTGGCAAGTAGGAGGATGACAGCCAACTTTCATCTTCCCTGACAAGATAACTCAGACATTTTCCTCAGGGAAAGGCGATTGATCATTGGGTTCGGCTGGAGAATAATGTGGAGTGAATGAAAGCACTCACAGAACTCCGTTCTTTATAGCTGCCTCCTTTGAAAACATGCGAGAACTCACAGAATAGTCTTCATTAGATGAGGAGCCCACTTGGGATTTTTACTTCTAAAGGCTCTTGAGTACTAAGGGCTGTGACAAGAGGCCATTTCTGCTCCACAATGTAGACCAAAAAAGCTCTCCTCAGCCCCCCAAATACCGCCCCTACCCTAACTACTCTGGTCAACATGGATCTCTCTCCTCTGTGAACTCCTCAAAGCTCTTTTTGCCTGAAACTTACTGCAGAACATTCATTATAGATATCATATGAGATCATGTGCTGTCTTCTTATATTTCATGTCATTTCTGGTAGATTTAAAACTTCTCAAGCACAGGGGACCTATCACATACTTTTTTAGTCATCTCTATGGGGCCCAGCGCAAAGCAGAGTATGTAAATGGTGCTCAATAAGTAATCTGATTGATACAGTCACAAGCACAAGGAGTAAAAAGAATGTGTGAGACATTAATCATATTATGTCAATTTCCTTTTAGGCAACTTCATAAAAAGCCATTACCAATTTACAATTGAGCATAATAATAATAATTATTATTATTATTTGTAACCTAGATAACAAGCAATGCTCCAAGGCCCATGACATGAACACTTTCCTGCCAAGCTGAAGCTGGTCCCTTTGCTTGGGGTTTTTAACAATAGGATGGAAACATCATCACCTTCTTAAACCTAACGAAAGTACATCTACACAAGAACTTCTGTGTACTGTTCTGTTATCATACCTTAAAATGATAACTGAGAGTTTAGAGACCTGCAGGAAGCATTTCAAAGAGTCAAGTGATTGGATGAATTATTTTGGGGCCATTAATTGACATATTAAAATTCCTTACTTAGACTACTGCAAGGCTGGTAAGAGATTAAAAAATTATAAAATCATGAAGATAAAAATAGAGTGACCACAGAATTACCAAAGAAGTACTATAATTCTACCACCTAAAGACACTCAGTGGCCGGGCGCGGTGGCTCACGCCTGTATTCCCAGCACTTTTGGGAGGCCGAGGCGGGTGGGTCACCTGAGGTCGGGAGTTTGAGACCAGCATGACCAACATGGAGAAACCCCGTCTTTACTAAAAATACAAAAAAATTAGCTGTGCATGGTGGCACATGCCTGCAATCCCAGCTACTCGGGAGGCTGAGGCAGGAGAATCGCTTGAACCCGGGAGGCAGAGGTTGCGGTGAGCAGAGGTCATGCCATTGCAGTCCAGCCTGGGCAACAAGAGTGAAACTCCGTCTCAAAAAAAAAAAAAAAAAAAAAGACACTTGGCAAACAATAGGCTTGGAGACCCCCTTATTTAATGGTCAAATGACTAAATATATAAACAGATCTTGAAAGGATTGGAATCAATTAATGGTGCATAGAGCCATAGTATATTATTAAGGAAATCAGGAATACTTGGAGTGCTTGTATGAAGGGCGTATTACCATACTTCTCAGACACATCATACTGAGGGAATAAGGGTATTGGACTTCTTTATTATTATATGTCTTCAATTCTTATCCTCAGTCTGAAATTATTTTCTCTTTTTTTTCTGAATTCTTACAGAATTTTATCTGTGCCAACAATATAATCTGTATATTTTCTTCATTGTATTAGCAATACATGTCATGTATTCTACTAGATTTAGAGGTCTTTGATGACAGAAATAATGATAAGTATGATGATGATAATAATAAGAGCCAATATTTATTATACTCTTACTGTGTGCCATACTTTTTGGAATTTATTGATTCAGTCTCATTTAATCACATTGCATTGATCTTTGCATGTCTTTTAGGTCTACTCACACTTGGAATAAAATTATCTGTGAAATCAACAAATGGTAAGCAAGCTCGATGGTTTGTTTTCCCATCAGGTAACCTGGAAACACGGGCAGATCTGATTGAAATGCAGATTCCTCACTGGTTTTTTCCTCCCTTTATAATTTTTCAGAAGCCTCTTTTACCAGGCAGGGAGGGGCAAATCTTCTGAGGGCATATTTCCCTCCCAGGCCCTAGTGCATTGGTATCTACCTAGTAGGTTCGTAGCAAATGCCTCTTGACTTATATACTCCACAGCACTAATTGTGAAAAGGAGGTAGCATTGTCATTAGCACAAATGATAATAGCTTGGGGACACAGTTGCAGGTTATATACAGTGAGATGCTACCATTGCAGATTTACAATGAAATCAATATACAGTGTCCCATGAAGATAATGAGGTAGAAAATGCATATATAATTCACATGTTCCAAATAAGCTCTGTAATGAGTTTGAGAGGTCCCTGCGTATTTCTAATTTGTCTACATCTGTTGAAGGTGGGTGGGTTCTAAAATGTGGGCTTGAAATCTCTGAACACCATGAAAATAGTAAAAAAGAAACTGTGAGTGTTATTCCAAAGCTCTAAAAGGCTTAAAAATAAATCCTAAACATCCTCAAGAAACTCCCACTCTTAGGGAAATTATTAACTTGTGAGTAATGTGAAGACATTCTCAGCAGATTCCCAGTCACATATCCTGCCATCTACATTGTTTACTCTTTAGAGTGAGCCCTTCTTATATTTCTCATGGACTTCCAAATACATAGAATGGCCCAAATAGAAAGAACTGCTCTTCCTGCTCCTTTTTTTATACCAGCCCTCATCCCTCCCAGCTCCAGCTTGGCATTTTCCTGGGAGTGCAGTCTTCTGAGGGAACTTGCCTTGGGCCAATGGAGGCTGGGAGGAAAGAGACGAAAAGGATAGAGGTAAGAGAACCATGCCAACCAGTCTTTGAGCTCCTCATTACCGTGAGAAATTCTAAAATGACCTGGCTTTGTAGCCATCTACAGAATTTCCTTTAAAGAGAAAGTTGGACCTTGTAGAGTTTCCTCCTTTTCTGATTAGGAGGGGACTCTTAGATCCTGGCTCTGAGAGTTTGCGAAAGTTTCTTTTCAGCGGTGGGTGGTAAGTCAAGATGGCTGAATTCCCGAGCTTTCTGGTTATATGTGAAAGTTCTCAGCCTCTACCCAAGCCTTTTTCTCTGCCAAGTGGTGCGATAAAACTTGTGAGAACAGGTTTTCCTTGTGAGGTAGCTGATGCATCTGCATCCATTTCTGGCAGAAAACCAAAGCAAAAAGGGATTTAGAGAAACATTACAGAACATCATAGGGGCTTCATATGCATTTGCTTCAGAAGTTTCATGATTATTCAAGGGAATGTGTTTTTTGTTTGACCTTTACCCTAGCCATCTCTCATAGCTCTCACACTAACTCTAACCCTGCATAACCATCCAAGACCCAGGGAAGCCACTTTCATTTGGATGAATTATAAGCTTTTTGCCAATTCAACATGATCAGCGTGTGGCCCAGTTGGTCTTTTTCAACAATGAGCTTCCACAATAATAGGGCCTTCGGTCTCAAAGGCCTTTTCCATGAGTTATCACTTTTAATCTTAGGAGAGAATCACTCCATCTGTCTCTAAAATTCATTCATTCCAACATCTCAGTTAAAGCAAATTTTTCTATATTCCATCCTTTGTCTTTAATAAGAAACAGAATCGAAAGAGAAATAGGTATCCTTGGCTTTCCTTCAGAACTGAAGAGGGAACACAGCTAGCTCTTGCACTCTCCAGGGGCCTCTCAACCAGCCTCTGATGGCAGCACCATAATCAGTTTAACCTTTGCTCACCCTTCCACTCCCCAAGACAGCAGCCATGGAGACTGTCAGTCACCGAGAAGCTGGGCTCCCCCACCTTCCTCTTCTCAGTTCTGCTGGGAAAAGCCCATAGGATACCAGCTGCCCAATACATGCTTGGTGGACAATCCAAGCAAGCACTTATTTCCCCTTAGAAAGCTTCAAGATCACCAACCAATGTAGAGTTATAAAGTGCTTTACTGATTATCTCATTGAACTCTTAATACTGTGAGGCAAATGTCTTTGTCAT
Source organism: Homo sapiens (assembly GCF_000001405.40). Lineage (NCBI taxonomy): Eukaryota > Metazoa > Chordata > Mammalia > Primates > Hominidae > Homo > Homo sapiens. The sequence continues at coordinate 11,814,088 of NC_000006.12, read as the reverse complement.
TTTGTAGAGAAAAAAAATCAGAATTTTAGTGAGATTAAGTAACTTGTACAAAGTCAAGTTACTTGGATTGAACCCATGTCTTTTGGCTCATTTACAATTGGAGTACATTTACAATATCCTTGCTATTCAAAGTGTGCTCAATGGATCGTCAGCATTACCTGTGATCCTTGGGCGCTCCTCAGACCTACTGAATCTGCATTTTAATCAGATCCCAAGTGATTTGTGTGCACACTAAAGTGTGAGAAATACTGTTGTACAGTGTAACTATCTCCAGCCAGAGGGAAGTTCAGTTGAGGCCCCAAACGCAGAGTGACCTAATAATGAGATGGATGTGTCCCTGGTGGGAACATCAAGGCAAGCTCTAATTTTGTATTATTCATCTGCAGTTAGTTTCAAGATTTAAATCTCCCCAACTCTTCCAAGTTGAGTGAAACAAAATCTCAATCTCTATGGCAGACGGATATCTGGGTATCTGTCCAATATTTCCTGAGGGGGAACGGGGCATTGTTTTCGTGTTAATCTTTTTGAAGCTCCCTAATAAACACAGGCTCATCACTTCTGTTAATTCGGGAGTCCTGGCTGATGTGTCTTTTAAGAAAGCCCATTTAGCTTGAATACTCTTGGAGATATTCAAAGATAAGACATATTGATTTTTTGCTTGAACAAAAGCTGCTTTTGATTCTCAAGATAATTGGTAGTTGTAGGGGATATGGAAGGGCTGGAGAGGAGACAGCTGTAAAGTCCCCAAGGGGAACAGGAAAGAAAGCTGCCTCCGACTTCATTCTGCTGTTCTTTGCACATCCTCTACTAGTGAGGGCTGCATAGGCCATTCAGTGCCTGTCTTTAAGATGTCATTATTTAGATAAAAATATGTCTGGATTCTTTTCACCTTCTGTCTTTCCCAACTTTCCATAGCAGTTGTCAGGAAACCAAATGGCACAATTTCAAACACTGGGAAAGTCCAGTTATCCAGAATGCACCCACACCCTGCCACTCCATGCCAAGAAGTCCATTAAGATCATGTTTCTGCTCAAGGAATACTCACTGATACTCTGGAAAACTCAGGCGGTTAAGAGCCACAGGTCCTATTGCACATAGGTGACACTTTTGTGAAAAAATTTTGGCCCCCCAAGCTTAAGCTGTTTAACTTGGGCATTGGAACTCTGAAATCCAGACTCTTCATGACAAAATAACTCTGAGGGGGAGCTGTTTCTTCCTCCTATTGGGAGTGCCCTGGACCTAAGTGAAATGTGGCCCAGTGCACAGGTGTGATTCTTCTCTTCTGTTCTGGGTACCACACGTGGGACTCACAAGCATGATTCAGCCCACTTGGATAACTCTGTTAATAGAAGTATGTGATTATTTTTCACATCATCTTTCTTATATAGTAGATGTTTAATTTGATTGGTTGTACATAAGTATGTATTACTTCACCTTTTTCTGTTCTTGAACAAAAATAGTACCTCTAACCACAGTCTTTCTAGAATCTAGTCCAACTTGGCCTCTTTAAGAATCTAAATCTAATGAATCCATTCCACTATTCATAACTCATTCTACCACTTGGATTCTCCATTCTAAATCTCTGGGTCTTCCATTGACACCTTCTAGTCCAAATCTATGCTGATAGAAAGATGGATTCTCTCCAAATGTCTACTATGTGCTTGCTACTCCTGGGCAAGTTGGGACCATCAAGGCTGATCATTCAATCTAAGTAGAAAGCTTGTATTAGAGACTCCATTCAAGGAACCAAATCTCAAGATTGTCACAAATCTGTGCAACATGTAAGCCCTATGCAGAAATCTGGAGACATTTAGCATTTCCCTATATTGGAAGAAATGCTTACCATAAGATACAAAAGTAAGTAATTTTTTTATTTTAAAAAATGAATATAATTTGTATTATGCCAAAAGACAAATCATATGGTTGTCCCTTACTCCAGTAAAATCTCTAGACTGTTACAGAATGCCCAGCTCTGTTTCTGCAAGAGTAATAAGAGTTCTCCTTGGGTTGAATGGTCACGCTTGGTGGTCCCAACTCACCCAAGAGCAGCAAGCACATATTAGGCATTCAGCAATTATTTGTTGAATGGATAATGACATGATTGGAAAAGAAGTGATAGATAGATTAACTGGATTTCCCAAGGCCCCTCTTCTGCCCCCACTCCCACCTGAAACACAAATACCTACCATTTGAGTTGCTTTCACTTACCCAAGAGACTATCAGCTGCTCCAGATTTTGGGGAGTTTTAGACCAAAAGCTTAGTAAATATTTCCTAAATCAAAACCACACAGGCAGAGTTCATTCAGTCTACTAATTGAGAACTATTGCTTTCCATAGTGAGACACGCAGCAGTTTTAAGAAAGAAATAGGCCTTGAGAGGAAAATATTTGTAAAGGGAACAAAAGCAAATGCTGTTGTGTTTGCCAATGACATCTTGGAGAACCGGTGGGTATTAAAAGAGGGAAAACAAAGAGGCCTGATATTATTATATGCCTTTCTTTCAAGTACACACATACATACACCAAACTCAGCCCAGCCCTTTTTAGGGGGAATGTTTCTGGCAGAAATAATTACTCTATACTTAGTGCTGCTGGAGTTGTGGCCCCACGGCGAAACAGGAGGTACAAGGAAATGAGGTGGAGCTGCTGGGGAAAACGAATGGGCAATGAGCAATTTACAAAGGGCTCGGTTTGGTCTACTTGGAGAGAGGAGTGTATATTTTAGAATATCACATGTAATTAACACCGGAAGAGGGGAATGAAATGGTTCACACCAGTGATTCCAGGGAGCTTTTGTATGAAACAGACGAAGGGGAAAAAACCTGATTAGGCACTGGCTTTAAGTACAGTTTCCTTGTATTTCCTTTTTCCTCTTTACCATATAATAACATAGCTTAAAATTAGTTCTGACAGCTAATCAGAATGAGTGGCTCTTTCTTTTCCTGGAGTGGTTAACAAGTACTGTGCATTGTGCCAACACTGCACACTGCTCAATGGATATAAGAAGAGAAGAACGAATTAGTTACTTGGTGGCATGCAGCTCTGCATCTCTCTTCAGTTGAATCAGAGGGATCCTGTGGTACCAGGGTCTGTGATGTGTCCGAGGGCAGTGTGGGAATGTTGTCATCCAGCACTGCTACATGGGCGACTCCTCCTCCCTGCTGGCCCGAATGCTTACCTCCCAGCCGGCTCCAATGCCTCCCACTCACAGTTACTTCGGCTTCTGATGGTGCACTGGAAATCTGTACTGTAAAGATGGAGTGTTGAACTAAATTTAGGCTGTTGAATGATAAAGCAGGAAGTAGCTCAAGACAGAAATACAAAATCAAATCAAACTCACTCTTCAAGAGAAGAAGCTGGGACCCAGGAGGATGTCTCAGAACAGGACAAATATTTGCATGTGATCGGCAGAGGTGAGGCATGGTCATCCAGGTGAGCGGGCAGGGGCTCCCCTCCACAAGGAGTCTCCTTTACTTGGTTGAAGAGAGTTTGTTAGTCTTACGGAGTTGCTTTTCTAGTTTGTAATGCAAAAGGATGATCATTGCTAAACAAGGATGTGATAGAATGGAGTGGAGTTAAAGAGCTCTAAGGCTTCCCAAATGAAAACTGTACAAAGGCACACAATGATTGCCCCACCAACTAAAAATAATAGCAGCAGCAAAAGTGGCCCAAAGGTGGGATCTGGGCCAAGCACAGCCCACAGAATTCCAAAGTCAGCCCTAGAGTTGCATCATGTTTAAAATCCCAAGTATCTCTGAGACTGTGGCTCCCAACATGTCCCCTCTGAGGAAGGGACCCAGGGGAAGGGTTCTGGGCTTAACAGGAAAACATGGCAAGCTGAGGCCTGGAATGTGAGTGGGCAGAGCCTCCTAAGTGGAGAGGAGCCATGTCCAAGCCAACAAGCTGGGCAGCCTGATTATGCCCCAGTAGGCTCTTGGCTGGCCTCCAGGAAGTTCTCCCTTTTACGTCAGCTGTTGAGGGAGGAGTAGGCACTCCCATTCTCAAGGCCAGTTCCAGAGGCAAGTGAGCCCTTGAAATTGGAATGAGACTTCTTTAGTGCAGACAGACGTCCTAGCATTTCAGAACTGTGTTTTATTGCATCCATGCAAGATGGTCAAAGAGGAAAAAGAAACCTTTAAAATTGCTTTAAAAATGCACAGGCTATATTTTGGCTAGATGGATACTTGTCCTGCTTTTTATTTGTTGCAATAAAATACACACAACATAAAACATATTTTAGTCATTTTAGGATATGCAGTTCAGTGGCATCAAGTTAACCCATAATATTCATAAGCATCACTGTCAACTAGTTCCAGGACACTTTCATTAACGTAAAAGAGAACTTGTTATCCATTAGCAGTCACTCTCCATTCCCACGTCCCCCCCAGCCCCTGGCAACCATGAATCTACTTTCTGTCTCTATGGATTTGCCTGTTTTGGATATTTCATTTAAGTGGAATCATACAGTATGTAGCCCTTTGTGTCTGACTTCTTTCACTTAGCATAATGTTTCTAAGATTCACAGAAAATGCAGCATGTATCAGTATTTCATTCCTTTAATGGTTGAATAATATTTCTTTTTAAGTAGATAACTCATTTTGTATATCCATTCATCAGTAAATGGACATTTGAGTTGTTTATGCCTTTTGGAAGTTGTGAATAGTGTTGTTGTAAATATTCATGTAAAGATTTTTGTTTGATTGTCTTTTTTCAGTTATTTTGAGTATATACCTAGGAGTGGAATTGCTGGGTTATATGATAATTCTGTGTTTAACTTATTAATGAACTCCCAAACTGTTTTCCACAGAGGCTGTACCGTTGTACACACTCACCAGTGGTACATGAGGATTCCAATTTCCCCAAATCCTTGCCAACATGGTGTTTTCTGCATTCTTAATTATCATTGCCATCCTAGTGAGTATGAAGTGGTGTCCATTCTGGGTTTGATTTGCATTCCCCTAATGACTCAGGATGCTGAGCATCTTTTCACGTGCTTTTTGGCTATTTGTATATCTTCTTTGGAGAAATGACTTTTCACGTCCTTTGCCCATTCTTAAATTGGATTTGTTGTTGTTGTTGTTGTTGTTGTTGTCAGAGGTTTTTTGTTTGTTTGTTTTGTTTTGTGTGTGTGTGTGTGTGTGTGTGTGTGTGTGTGTGTGTGTGGCTTTTTTTTTTTTTTGACGGAGTCTCGCTCTGTTGCCAGGCTGGAGTGCAGTGGCGCCATCTCAGCTCACTGCAACCTCCGCCTCCTGGGTTCAAGCGCTTCTTCTGCCTCAGCCTCCCAAGGAGATGGGACTACAGGCATGCACCACCACGCCCAGCTAATTTTTGTATTTTTAGTAGAGATGGGGTTTCACCATTTTGGCCAGGATGGTCTTGATGTCTTGATCTCGTGATCCGCCCACCTCGGCCTCCCAAAGTGCTGGGATTACAGGTGTGGGCCACCTCACCCGGCCGAGTTCTTTTTGTATATTCTGGATACTGGAACCTTACCAGACATGAGATTTATAAATATCCTCTCTCATTCTGTAGGTTATGTATTTACTGTCTTGATTGTCCTGTTTTTAAAGAGAACATACTAAACAAAGCACTTAGGTGCCATTGGGAAAAGAATACCAAACAGGATAGTAACAGGCATAAAAGTTTTGAGCTAAGGGAAGTCTCCTCACTGTCATTTGTTTTCTCTCCTGGCTATCAATAGACAGCTCATATCCAAAGCTTCCTTGAACTAACCATAGTGTGTTGGGTCGTTCTTGCACTGCTATAAAGAAATACCTGAGGCTGGGTAATTTATAAAGAAACGATGTTTAATTGGCTTATGGTTCTGCAGGCTACACAAGAATGATGCTGACGTCACCTGGCTTCGGGGAGGCCTCTGGAAGCTTACAATCATGGTGGAAGGAGAAGTGCAAGCAGGCCAAAGGAGAGGCAAGAGAAGGAAACTGCCACACACGTTTAAATGACCAGATCTCACAAGAACTCAGTTACGATTGCGAGGCAGTACCAAGGGGAGGGCGCTAAGCCATTCATGAGAAATCCACCCCCATGATCCAGTCACCTCCCACCAGGCCCCACAGCCAATATTGCGCATCACATTTCAACATGAGATTTAGGCAGGGACACACATCCAAACTATGTCATATAGCAACAATACATTGTGTGAAGACTCTATGTGCCAGCCACGGCTCATAGGTATGGGGATTTAGTAACACATGCCTTATGTGTATTTGTCTCCTGTTCTTGAAGATACCTTGCAATGTAAGGGTTATTATTTCTATTGTATAGATGAGGAAACTGAGAAGCAGATATGTTAATGAGTGGACAAAGACCTCACTGCTCACAAGTGGCAGAGTCAGGACCCAAACTCAGGTCTGTCTGACTTGAAAGCCAGAACTTATCCTACTCACTCACCAGTTTGGTACATTTTGCTCTGGGGTCCTTAGGGCCTCCATGAGTCCATTTGGGGCCTTTCTGGCCATAGAGAGGAGGACCAACAGAGGGTTTGGGTCTCTGGGGCCAGCACACACTTTAATTAGGGCAACCCTGCTTCGATCTCTTTTCTAATCTGTGACTTTTGAATATGATTGTGTTTGGGCAGGAAAAAAAAGAGAGGTTTCTGGTGCTTTAAAACATGTTTGAAATCCACTGCGAAATCATGTTACTTCATGGAAGAAAATCCCAAAGCTCTCGCAGCCTCTTGTAAAATAGAGGTTTCATTAAAGGATGGCTTTTTCTAAGCCTTATAGATAGAAACGTGGTATTGCATTTGTACACACTTGCAGTCACACATGTGCACAAATACACACACACACAACCTCCCTCCACTCCCCAATTCCTGCGCAGTCCAATTCCCTACTCCAGACAGAGGATGCCAGCTCCAGGGGAAGTTGCCTCTGAACGCCCACTCACCAGAAAAAAAAGGTGGCTCTTGCCAGCAATTGCACCCACACTTCCCAGCAGTCCTGGCTGTTGCCATTCATTGGTCAGGTATGATGCTGCCTGCTCACCTTTGACAGCCTTCCCAGCAGCCAACCAGCCCAGAGAGTCTCCAAACCAGAGCCACCATTCTTGCGAAGTGAGTTCCCACCCACCCGAGAGGGAGATCCTTAGCTCCTCATCATCGCCAGTCATGATGATGAGATACTCTGGAAGACATCCATTCTGTGGAAACCCCACAAGGTGAGGCCACGTCTAAATAGCTTACAGGTGAGTGTCCTTCCTCCCTGCCTGACCACTGGCTTGGATGGAGAGGCGGTTGCATGGCCAGGTGAGGGGGCCGCGGGGCTGTGCACTCCCACATCACATTTCTGATTTTCCAGACAGCATGTCTCAGCAGGGTGCTGATCTGGGCCTGGAAATCCCCGTCCAGAGTGTTGATCTCTGTCTTGAGCTCTTTGCATTTCCCTTGTTAGGAGATTAGGGCTGTCCGACAAGTTCGTCGGAGGTTATTGCAGGCGTCTGAGGTGCCAGTGTGGGAGGGTGAACAGTTGCCGAGAGGGTGAGGGGCTTTGAAGTGGGTGGGCAGGAAGGTGGATTTGTGAAGTTTCTCAGAACTGCAACTTGGTTTTCTGAAAATTTATCCTGTGCGCCAATAAATTGTTGCCAGATGTCTGCTCCAATACAGTTCTAGCGTGAGATCACATGAAGACATTTAATGCCATTAACTGCTTTGGTCAGAAATGAGGAAGGGGTGCTGGGGAGGCTTCCTGCCCACTAGGTAAATTGGGATCCAAGAGCAGAAAGCCTTTTTTTTCTTCCATTCCTAGTTTTCTATAGCTTAAACACATATAGGACATTTTATTTCATTTTGCTCTCAAACATTACCCAACTCACCGTGGCGATTTATTAACAAACTCCTAAGGTAGACAGTGATTCCTGGACCCTTAGGCCCTGACAATGACAAAAGGGGCTCACAACCTGCAGAAAGAAACTGCCGAACAGGCAGGTGCCAGCAAGTTGTGTTTTCCAAATCATTGGCAGGTGCTTCTCATCTCTTAACCCCTGCCAGTGGCTTGCCTGTGAACCACTCCTTCTCTAATGTAGCCTAAACTTTCCCAAGTTTCCAACCACTGAAGTCACTGGTAGATTCACCACCCAATATGGGGCTCCTGCTACTGCAGGCCACTGGTAAGATACAGATAGCATTGCAGACTCAGAGGCTGAGGGATCTCCCTCTGAAGACCTAGATAATGCAAATCCAATGAGACGCAGATGAGAGCAAGCCGGGCTTTGTCCTGCCCTGTGCTGCCTTGGTGCACACACCCACGCCTGGCTACGCCCGACTCACCTATCCAGATGAGCAGCGGCAGCCCCAGGCAGAGGTCATTTGCAATCTTCCACAGCTGTGGAACATTGAATGCCATGAAGTTTAGAAAACGCCCCTTTCTCTCTCTCACCTATTTTCCTTTAGAAGCCTAGGGGTCCAATTGTAATTGAGTTTTTTCTTTACAATCAGGGAGTTTTTTCTTTACAATCTTTACCCTGATACAGAATAAAACGAAGGGTTTTAGCACAGCCCAGCCTGCATGGTTTCCCAGCATCTCAGGTATTTACACATGTGGTGGTGCCTAGTCTTTTGGTGGCGTGATCCAGCAGGGAGTCATGGAGGAGGGGAGAGGACACCTCCCCCGCCCCCATATCCCCACACTATTGGCTGCTCCCCCTGCCACTCAGCAAAGCCTGACAACCCTCTGCTACCCTCGCCACAGCTCCTCTTCACTTGCCAGGGATGAAATCAGCCCACAGGCACCTAGTGTGAACCCAAACGTATCTGAGACAGATCTCAATCCGTTCAGAAAGTTTATTTTGCCAAGTTTAAGGATGCACCCTTGACACAGCCTCAGGAGGTCCTGACATGTTCCCAAGGTAGTCAGGGCACCCACGCCTGGTTTTATACATTTTGGGGAGACATGAAACATCAATCAATATGTGTAAGGTGTACATCGGTTTGGTCCGGAAGGGCGGGACAAGTTGAAGCAGGGGAGGGGGCTTCCAGGGCATAGGTAGCTAAAAGACAAATGGTTGCATTCTTTTGAGTCTCTGATTAGCCTTTCACTGAATACACAATTTACCTGTGAGAGGAGAAGAGAGGAATAATCACTATGCCTTAGTTTGGAAACAACAGGGCAAAGGAAGCCATCAGATATGCATTTGTCTCACTTGGGCAGAGGGATGACTTTGAGGTCCGTCTGTCCTTTGTCCACAAGGAATTTTCTTGTTAGCGAATCATGAAGCAGTTATCTCATTGTAGCTATCTTATTTAGGACGAAGTGGGAGGAAGGTCCCAGCTTGACTTCCCTTTGGCTTACTCATTGTGGGCTCCTGAGATTTATTTTCCTTTCACACTGACAAACACTGAAAACCATCCCAAGACACAAGAAAGGGGAAAATGAGTTTTCCTGGGGGTACATGGAAGCCCCAGAAGGAAGGAGACAGCAGGGCGAAGTGGCAGAGCGGTCCATGACAGTAGGTCAAGGCACTGAAAGTAAACCATCTATATCATGATTTTTTGGAATGTCCTAGCTGTTAGGTCTTCCTATTGAACCAAACTGACAAATCTCAGGGATCCTGGGCTAGAAATCCCATGGATTTGATTTAGAATGATCTCCAGAAAACTGTTCCCTGAGGACTAACAAGATTTCAACCGGCAGCAAATAATAGATTTACACTTGAGGGTATGCCCTTCACGGAATCAGGAAGCTAGAACTGCCCCCCGCTCACATCGTGTGAGTCTCCCTAAAGCTTTGCTGCAGCTCTGAACTTTCGTAACACAGGCCGCAGGCATCATTTCACAATGATCACAGAGCACAATTGTATACCATGTGTTAGACATATAAAATATGGTTAGTGCAAACATGCTCACTAAATTAACTATGGCTTGCCAAATTAATTCCTGTAAGCAAAGAGAAAGAAATTCAATTTTCTAACCAATTATGCTTATTGATTTCTCAAGGTTAGGCCTCAAAGAAAAATGCAGAAAGGGTAAAAATTGCCATAGGACTTTATGAAGAAACTGTATTTGAAATATGATTTTATTTCTACTTCAGCAATAACTGTCATTCACTTTATCTATCAGTAGATCTGGGGTCTCACTTTTAGGAGAAGGTGTATTGTGTGTTCACACTGGGATACAGACAGATCTGGGTATGTTTAGGATCTGAGGAATAGGCTTACAGATTTGGGGTCTTAAGAGCTTTTTAGTAAATAAATTATCCAACTCCTCCCCACAACCCAAATTAAGTAACTCATCTGTAGCAAGTAGCAAAATGTACACCTGGAAGTCTGTCTTGTGATCCCTACATTCTTTCGGTGCCACAGTAATATGTTTACCTTGTGATCATAATTCACACTTGACCTAAATCTCATTGTGAACCAGGAACCAAGATGTCCATTTTAAAACATTCTTTTTTGAGGGGGCACAAATGGCACATTTGTTAACAAGACACGAATTTAGAAATAATTCTTTGGAGGTGTAAGATTGAAAAGGTGTAATTTATAAAGTGTCATTTAATTTATTAAAATATGTGCATTCAAAACAAACTTCCACTTTGAGAGAGACAAAAGGAAAACCAATTCTGTTTAGCACCTTTGGTAGAAACCCGGCCTCATGTTTGCACACACCCACTCCCGCACCCACACACCCTCCTTCCATTGCCCTATCCCTACCAATTCTGTGACAAAGGTCAAGCTTTTGAGCATGGTCACCATGTAATAAAGTCTGGACTATTTCACCCAATGCCAAGGTTGCTTTGGCAACCACCATTCTCATGCCTCCAATATTTCCTGGGGTATAAGCACAGCCTGACCCCAGACGGCCTGTGTGGGTGGTGCTGTGGGGGAGGGGTCTTATTACAAATGGTGATTATTGTCCCCTCCGCAGACCTATTAAATCAGAATCTCTTGGGGAGGGATCAGAAATCTCATTTTGTGTTTTTTCTTGTTGTTGTTATTGTTGAGACAGAGTCTTGCTCTTTCACCCAGGCTGGAGTGCTGTGGTGTTATCTCAGCTCACTGCAGTTTCAAGCTCCTGGGCTCAAGTGATCTTACCTCAGCCTTCTGAGTAGCTGGGACTCCAGGTATGTACCACCATGCTCGGCTAATTTTAAAAATTAATTTTTTTTTTTTTTTTTTGCAAAGATGGGATCTCACTATATTGCTCAGGCTGGTCTTAAACTCCCATCCTCAAGTGATCCTCCTGCCTCGGTCTCCAAAGTGCTGGGATTATAGGTGTGAGCCACCGCACCTGGCTAAGAATCCTGTTTTTTTTTTTAACAAGTTCTCTAAGTAATTCTTCTGCACAATAATGTTTGGTAACCACTTCCAGAAGATTGCAAATAAATTGATTTGTAAAGGAACTGGACCCAAGGCCTTGACTTCAGGCTCATATTTATCTCAGCAACTGGGCTGTAGTCTCTACCACCATCCTCCAACAGCCCAATGACAAGAAAAAGAAATGCTCAAAAATGTGATTAAATGGGAAGCAACAGAATAGGTGAAAGAAAAATCCGAGTAACAAATGCTAGACTGCTGAAAGTGGAATGGTTTTTAACTCTCCTCAGTGACTCAAAGACATCCAAGCCATCATTACTTGCAGAGCCGTTCTGGTTTGGGTAACCAGTAGTATTGACATACATATATACTTTAATGTGGATGCTGACCTAAGTCAAATGAACCATGAGAACAGCAAAATGAAGCAAAATAAAAAGTAACAGTGGGATTCTTCTTCAAATAAATATGCCTTATTAATGTATGGATTGTCAGTAATTACCAATAAATATATAAATATAGGGGACACAGCTCGAAATTTTTTACTGATAAGGGTGCATAGTCAAAAGTATTCAGGACTTTGATAGTGGAGATCGATTTGAAAGGTAAAAAAGTTAATTACAATATGGTGCTAATATATGGTCATACATGACCAATCTTAGAAGATATCTGTGTTTTAATAGAAAATGAGGCTTAGTCTGAAGGAATCCATCTTCGGTGGTGAATTTTGGGCTCTCTGGTTGGCAGGTAGATGAGCTATGAGGCAGAGAAGCTTTTACCAGGATAATTATATCCAGTAAGAAACTTCTAGTGGTTCTTAACCACACCCTTGGCTGGGATCAGGAATTCAAGACAGTTATGATTTTTCAGTGGTCACCCAATCACCTTTCCTTCTCCAGTGGGATTCAAAATGCAGTCAAGTCAGTTACTGGTGGGTTCTGCAGGTAGTGTGAGGACAAGTTTATTATAGAATGCATTACTGTAGTAGAATGAATCCATTTCATTATAGAACGCACATTTTCATGTACATTTAAAGGACACTATTACATTTAGGTTACCTTCCTTCCCCAAAAAGTTTCAGAGAAGTTTATTCCTCTTTATATTTTGTGTAACTTTATAAATTACATAAGGAATAGAGCACATGACTTGTATTAATCTAAAAATACATATACACACAGGATAGTGCAACACAGCAGAACATGTCTGCGACATTCACTTTCTTAACCCCCCACAGAAGAACTTTCTGAGTAAATGGAAATAATGTTGTTCTCTAGTGCATGAACATTAAATCCAACAAAGTCGGGTTATTTTTCCACACTGATATGTGTGTTTTTTGGCATTCATATATATATACACACATACATATATATGTATGTATGTATATGTATATATAGTATATATGTATATATAGCATATATATGTATATATAGTATATATGTATATATAGCATATATATGTATATATAGTATATATGTATATATATGTGTGTGTGTATATATATGTGTGTGCGTGTGTGTGTGTGTGTGTGTGTGTGTGTGTGTGTATTGTGCGAGATCCAAGAACGCTGTCTTAGGGCCTGGATTGGGACCCCTTTCCAGTAACAACCTGGTAATCGCCCCCACTGCACTCAGCCTGGGCAGCAGAGTGAAAACCTGTCTGAAAAAAAAAATGTATTTGAATGGACACTTCCACAAAGATGATATATGGATGGCAAATAAATACATGCGAAAAATATTTTTTTCTTTTCTTGAGACAGGGTCTCACTCTGTTTTTCAGGCTGGAGTGTAGCAGTGCAATCTCAGCTCACTGCAGCCTCGACCTCCGCAGCTTCAGCCATCCTCTCACCTCAGCCTTCTGAGTAGCTGGGACTACAGGTGCATACCACCATGCCCAGTTAATTTTTAATTTTTTTTTGAGAGATGGGGTCTCACTATGTTGCCCAAGCTGGTCTTAAATTCTTGGGCTCAAGTGATCCACCTGGCTTAACCTCCTAAAGTGCTAGGATTACAGGCATAAGCCACTGCACCCGGCTGCTAAAATGTTAAACATGATTAGTCATTAGGGAAATGCAAATTAAAACCAAAGTGTAATACCACTACACATCTATTAGAATAGCTTAAAAAAAAAACACAAAAACCAACAAACCCAAGTTCTGGCAAGAATGCAAAGTGACTGGAATGCTCATATAATGTAGTAGCCATACAGAACAATACAGTCTCTTTGGGAAACAATTTGGCAGTCTCAAATAAATTTAAACATTTATCATAAAACCCAGAAATCCCACTCCTAGGTATTTACCCAAGAGAAATGAAAATTTATAGCTGGGGATGCTGGTGTGTACCTGTAGTCCCAACTACTCAGGAGGCTGAGGTGGGAGAATTGCTTGAGTCCAGGAGTTCTGGATCAGCCTGAGCAACATAGTGAGACCAGTCCCTGTCCCCAAAACAATTTTTTAAAAGAGAAAATCTATGTTTATAGCAGCTTTGTTCATAAATGAGAAAAATTGGAAAAAAACCCAGATGTACCTAAATCAGAGCATAACTAATATGTGGTACATCCATCAGTGAAGTGTTATTTAGCAATAAAAAGGAAATGACTATTGATGTATAGAGCATCATGGACATGTATCAATTGTCTTATGCTAAATGAAAGAAGCTAAACTCAAAACCTTCATACTTTATGTTTCCATTTATATATTTTGGGAAAGTTAAAACTATAGGGACAGGGACAGGGGAGGTGGCTCATGCCTGTAATCCCCACACTTTGGGAGGCCAAGGTGGGAAGCTCACTTGAGGCCAGGAGTTGGAGATCATCCTGGGCAAGATGGTAACGGTGAGACCCCAAATCTACAAAAAAGTTTTTTTTTTGTTTGTTTGTTTTTTGGTTTTTTAAATTAGCTGGGCATGTTGGCACAAGCCTGTAGTTCCAGCTACTCAGTTGGCCAAAGCAGGAGAATTGCTTGAGCCCAGGAGTTTGAGGCTGCAGTGAGCTGTGATCGTACAACTGAATTCCAGCCTGGATAAGAGAGTGAGACCCCATCTCTAAAATAAAAAAATTCATAATAAAAAATAAAAACTATGGGGATAGAAAACAGATCAGTAGTTGCCAGGGACAGGGCCTGGGGAAAGTTTGGCTATAACTGGGCCCAGGGAACTGTGGCTGAGGGAACTGTTTTACATCTTATGAGACAGAGTTTTGCTCTTGTTGCCCAGGCTGGAGTGCAGTGGTGCTATCTTGGCTCACTGCAGCATCCGCCTCCCGGGTTCAGGCAATTCTCCTGCCTCAGACTCCCGAGTAGCTGGGATTACAGGTGCCCACCACCACTCCCAGCTAATTTTTTGTATTTTTTTAATAGAGACGGGGTTTTGCCATGTCAGCCAGGCTTGTCTTGAACTCCTGGCCTCGGGTAATCCACCCGCCTCAGCCTCCCAAAGTGTTGGGATTACAGGCGTGAGCCACCTTGCCCGGCACGGCTCGGCTTTTTACTGAGATTTTACATAGACTACTTCACTTGTAAGGGTCAACCCTGTGGTCTCACCAATTCAATAATTTTTAGAAAACATTTATTTGTACTTTGCTTGGGAAGGAAAGCTCAGTTATTTACCTATCTCTTCATTTCCTTTTGAATCTACAGTGTAGCTGCTACATGTCTATTTCATGCTTCCAAAAATGCCAAATGTATTTTGAAAAGGGATCCAGTTTAGGGTGATCAAATGTCTTAGTTTGCCCAGAACAGTTCCGCTTTTAGTGCTAAAACTCTCACATTCCAAGGAACCCCTCTATCCTGGGTAAACCGGGATGGTTGAGGTAGCCACTAGCCCCATGGGGCTGTTTAAGTCTCCAAATTTTAAAATAGAATAAAATTAAAACTTTAGTTTCTCTGTTGCATTAGCCACATTTCAAGGGCTCCATGACTACACGTGAGCACCTCATGGGACAACGGAGAGACAGAAATTTCCATCATTGCAGACGGTTCTGTTGGATAGTGCTGAGCTAGAGGGTATTTCTGGTAATCGCCTAGAACTAACATCCTTTAAAACAGTGCCCTGGTCAAGTGTTAAGCAATCTCATGTGATGTGGCTGGCACCTCAGTGAATGCACAGAGCGTACTGGGTCAGCAAAGCCGCAGTGAAAACTTTTGTCTTTTAGAGTTTGCATATCCTGATGCATCAGGCTTCTGGGACTATGTCCTCATCTTCTTAGAGCCCAGGAATTTATAAACCGTTGTTGGCATTTAGTGGAAATTGGGGACATGGCAGGAGAAATATTTAACATGACAGCAAGAAAAGATAATTTGGCTCTTTTAAACTGGGCATGAGGCATGAGGGTCACACTAATTTTGTTCCCATTTATAGATTTTTTTTCCTTGACATGCAGCATAGCAGAGAGGATCAAATTGAGTCAAACTGAGTTAGAGCTAAAGGAGCTCAGGCACAAGGAAAACCACCTTTGGAATGAACAGCTTTTAAGTCCATTTCATCCCTCACCCAAACAATGGGCTATAAAGTTGGATGGGAACTACAAAGTGGTCACAGTCATAGGGAGATGTTTGGCAACATCTCTCCTCCCCCAGGGCAAAGGCAAATTAGAAACAGAGACGGAGACAAACTGCTTGTCTGTTTAAAGATTCAGTGCTGAAGGATGTAATTGTGAGCATAGGGGTTTATCTGTTTCATAACATGTTATTGAAGACCTGCAGAATTCTGTCCTTGCTCTTCAGTCATTCACAGTCTAGTGGGGACTCTAACGTATTTACTAATTTTAAAAAATATAAGATTTAATGTAGCCAATGACGATTTATGAAGATAGCAATGATAATGATGATGGTGATAGTGATGGTGGTGATGATGATAATAAGTAACATTTATTGGGCGCTTTCCAGGTGTCAAGCTCTATTCTAAGTGCTTTACATGAAGAAGTACAAGACAATACTCTGGGAATAGAGTTGCTAGAGGGATCCTCAAGTGAAAATACAGCATTCTATTTTTCAAGATTTCTCAGAAATGCAGTATATAAACAAAGCAAAATCCTTTTATAAGTCATTTAGAGAAATAGCACAGTAGAGCCATTTCGGCAATAAATTTTATTTTTTTAAATGACCTTTTTATTTTGGAATAATTTTAGATTTATAGAACAGTTGCAAAGATAGTACAGAGAGTCCCCATATGATAATGGATTTTTGAGTCAGACAGCCATGGCCTTAAGTCCCAGTTCTGCTGTTTATCCACTGTGCGTCCTTGGACCAGTTATTTAAACACTCATATCCTCAGATGTGGCTTCCTTGATTATAATATAGCACAATAACCCTTGCTTTAGAGGGTTGTAGGAAACAAAAAGTGAGAGAATGTGTGTAAAGTGCGTGCACATACTTAAGCCATATTGACAGGCCTAATAAACATTAGTACTTATTTTTATTTATATAGATGGTATATTTGTTATTAAAAAATAAAATAATATGTTACAATAATTTAAAATGGGCTGATGTTTACTAATTACACACACACATTCCTTCTCTCTCCACCACCCTGCCTCAAAGAGACAGGTAATGATAATTCACCAACTTGCGACTTTAGGTCAACTGCAGTCGCTCTTTTCAATTCCTAAGAAATTGCAGGGGCCAGTGGGAAATTCTGAGTTGTTACAGTCTTAATGGAAAGCCCCAGGTCAAGAGTGAAGACTTTTCTTCAGTTTAAAAGCTAATGTTGGCCTTAAGACAACTGTGAAATATGTTTGGAAATTGTTCTCACCAAATGTTTTCTGGAAAGAATTCCGGCTGCTAGCAATTGAAAGCCTAGTGATAGATTTAGCACCTCGGCCATGCTGAAGAAACACTGCAGAAGTTGTTCCGGCAAACACATTTTCTAGCAATGGTGTACTTGTTGTGGGCCACATGGGCATTCTGGCCAGGTTGTGGCTGTGAGGACAGACATTCTCCAGGTGCTTCCGATCCTAAAACCTAATGCTTACTGAGCGCTTATGACCTCAGAGCTTCTGTCTTTAGTACTCCACGAGCACTGTCTCCTCCAATCCACACAGCAATGCTGTAAGTTGTGTATTATTATCATCATCCTCATTTCGTAGTTGAGGAAACTGAGACACAGAAAGTTTCATGAACATGCCCATGGCCACACGGTTGGGAACAAGTGAAGCCAGGGTTTGTTTGTTTGTTTGTTTGTTTGTTTGTTTTGTAGAGATGGAGTCGCTCTGTCACCCAGGCTGGAATGCAGTGGCGTGATCTCGGCTCACTGCAACCTCCACCTCCCGGGTTCAAGCAATTCTCCTGCCTCAGCCTCCTGAGTACCTGGGACTATAGGTGCCAGCCGCCACTCCCAGCTAATTTCTTTTGTATTTTAATAGAAACGGGGTTTCGCCGTGTTGCCCAGGCTGGTCTCAAACTCCTGAGCTCAGGCAATCCACCTGCCTCGGCCTCCCAAAGTGCTAGGATTATAGGCATGAGCCACCATGCCCGGCTGAAGCCAGGATTTGAGGTAGGTAACTTAGGACTTAGGACTCACACTCTCGGCCACCATGTGTAAATCTTTTGCCTTGATTAGCTTTGGAATTCACACTTCTTCAGAAGCCAGCATTTCACTGCAGGCCAGCAGCCTCATGAAATTATAACAGAAAACGATTCGAGAGCCCCTCAAGTCAACTGGTAGCTGTCAGACGTTTCCTCAGGCATCCTCTCATTCATGGCATCCTAAGGATGACGCTAGTGGTAGACAACAGACCCTTGAACAGCAAGATCCCAGGCTGCAGGTTAGACTCTCCTACTTGGCCACGTAGCCTGATGGCTTCTGGACTCTGTGTTCTCTTTTTGCTCCTGATCCAGTGCTCATTTTGAAAGTTACAGCCAGATGGATGAAAACAGGGATTGTCACATTTGCCCTATTCAAGGGCCAAGGACTACATAAAAACTGTTTTCTGTTACCAAAGTGGTGGGAAGGGTATTGTCATGCAATGAATCCCTGAAATGAGGTTACTGGATGCAGTGCAGTAATTATTGCTCTCCAGAACAGAAAAAAAAAAAAAGCTACCTCCCCAGCACTTCAAGCAAGTTCATTGAGAAAGCAGCCTCATGGTTTGAGGATAGCCTTGAAGATAAATGGCTACACTCCATCTATGACCTACGTAGACCTTTTCCAAATCATTTTGACATCACTCCCTCTGAATGTTAGAAGGTAAACACAGGAAGAGAAAGGGCAAAACATGGTGGAAAGAAATTTCGACATCGTTCAACCAAAGTATACAAGGGAACAGGTACTGGAGTCTAGGGTCAGGAGACAGTTGCTCTAACCAGCTGATAATCAGCTGTACTTCTGTCCACGGAGCTCATGTCTACAAAACATTATTATACTCAGCAGGCCAGGGTTCAAAGAAATCTTTCTTTGAAAATAAGAGAGAGAAGCTAATTTTATTTTACACTGGTGTGTGATTTATTTTGGGCACCCACAAAACAAACTGGACTCATGCTGAGTGGCCTAAAACACCATGAGCATTCTAGAGGAGATTGGTGGAAAATGCTTAGTGTCCATGAACCTCAACCAACTAGATAATGTGAAGCGATCCCAGATGATTTATTAATCTGCAATAATGCAGACTTGTTTAGCAAGGAGAAAATACCACGGAGGCCGATGGGTGTGACCTTCAACTTCAGCCGTTTTGTAAACAAGTGTTCTATGAAGTTTCGTTTTATTTTCACACAGTTTGAGGATGGCTTTCTATCCGCAGGGCAGTAAACGATTAACCAAAATAGCTCCTTTTAACCAAATGAGTGTGAGGAACTCTGAGCAATCTGGCAGCTTTTTTTTTTTTTCAAGATAAGGAGATTTTAAAAAGCACAGCAACATTTTTCTTGCTTTTATGAAACACTGCCCTGTGCTTCCAGGCAGAAAAGCAAAAACTTTTGAAAGGTCATGTGATGTCATTTCAGCAATGTAGAAAAAAAAAAATCAACTAACAACCAAAAAAGATAATGATCTTTGACAGCGTGTTTTGTGTTTTTGTTTGTTTGTTGTTTTTTAGACAGAGTCTCACTCTGTCGCCCAGGCTGGAGTGCAGTGGTGCAATCTTGGCTCACTGCCACCTCTGCTTCCCAAGTTCAAGCGATTCTTATGCCTCAGCCTCCTGAGTAGCTGGGACTACAGGCACCTGCCACCATGCCCAGCTAATTTTTCTATTTTTAGTAGAGACGGGGTTTCACCGTGTTGGCCAGCCTGGTCTCGAACTCCTGACGTTGTGATCCGCCTGCCTCAGCCTCCCAAAGTGCTGGGATTACAGGCGTCAGCCACCGTGCCCGGCCTGACAGCATGTTTTAAAGCAGAATGTAAGTATGTACACATTCATGTGTAATTCTGAAAGGATTTCACTTTGAAATTGAATGCCTTAATAAAGACGACTTGTCCGTGAAGGGCTAAATTAATCTTTGAGCTGTGTTGTACAGGAAATCAAATCCTGGTCTATCATAGGAGCCATCATTGACATCTTCCATGAGGGCAAGTGTGGGCAGATATAGAAAGAAGCAAATAAAGCCTTTTCCTCTTCCCAGGGAAAGGAGTTGCTTCAGAAAAACACTGGAGAAGGCCATAAAGTGCTTCTATAAGGCTTTAGAAGAGTTTCCATCTGCTTCGCCTCATAGGATCGTGCCGTGTCTCACACTGGGGACACTGAATTTTTCTGGTTTTGAGAGCAATGATCCTCAACTGGAGGTGATTTTCTCCCCCAGGAAACTTTTAGTAATGTCTAGAGACATTTTTGGTTATCACACTGGGAGCCCCCATGGTACTAGATAAACCAAACAGATGAATCTAGCATCACAAAGGCCCAGAAAATTAAACTGTCATCAGAATCATCGTGTACAAAAGTCAGGCCAGGACCCACGTACCAAACCTAAGCAGGGTGGCTGACTACTAAAATAAAATATTTAAATAAGACTTAGAGTCTCCAAATAGTCAAAATACAAAATGTCCAGGTTGAAAACAGAATAAATAATAACCTTGGCAGATTACTCATTGCAGATTTGCTCACACTCATTTGGTTAAAAGGAATTATTCTGGATACAACTGAAAAGTAATAGTTATATCAAGAATCAGGAAAATCACAACTTTAATGAAAACAAGATAATCACTGACACAGAGGTGAATCAGATACTGGAATTATCTGATAAAGACTTTAAGGCAGTTATTATAAAAATGCTTTAATGAACAATTATGAATTCTTGAAACAAAAATAGAAAATATCACCAAAGAAACTGAAGTTATTTAAAAAGTACCAATGGGAATTATAGAACTGAAAAATATAATAACAGAAATAAAAACTCACTGGATGAGCTCAATAATAGAATGGAGATGACAGAGGATAGAATCAAAGAACTTCAAAATAGATGAATAGAATTTACCTAATCTGAAAAACAGAGAGAAAATATCCTGAAAAAAAAATGAACAGATCTTCAAGGAGCTGTAGGACAATAACAAAAGATCAAAAATTCGTATCCTTGGATTCCCAAAAGGAGAGCAGAAGATGAGTGGTATTGAAAGGGTATTTGAAAAAAAAAAAGAAAAAGCTGAAACCTCCCCAAATTTGCTAAAATACATAGACCTACTTCTTTAAGAAGTTGAACAATCAAAATAGGAAAGCCCAAAGGAATCCATGTCTTGACACACTGTAATTAAACTTCTGAAAGCGAAGGATCAAATCTTGAAAGTAGCCAGACCATAACGACACATTTACCACAGGGAAATACAAACTCAAATAATAGCATATTTCTCATCTGAAACCGCAGAGGCCACAATAAGTGACACAACATTTCTTAAGTGCTGAAAGAAGGACTGTCAACAGTGAATTCTATCTCTTACAACACTCTTCTTCAGGAATACAAGGGAAATAAAGACATTCTCTGATGAAGGTAAATTTAAAGGATTTGTTGCAAACCTAAAGGAAGTAGAAAAGAAGTGACTCAAACTGAATGACAGTGATCAAAGAAGGAAACTTGAAACATTGGGAAAGATGAAAGAACAATGTAAAAGTCAGGAATACAGACAATAGACTAGCTCTTCTCAGGAATTTAAAACATCCTTTTTTTTTTTTTTTTTTTTTTTTTTTTTTGAGACGGAGTCTCGCTCTGTCGCCCAGGCTGGAGTGCAGTGGCGCAATCTCGGCTCACTGCAAGCTCCGCCTCCCAGGTTCACCCCATTCTCCTGCCTCAGCCTCCTGAGTAGCTGGGACTACAGGCGCCTGCCACCACGCCCGGCTAATTATTTTGTATTTTTAGTAGAGACGGGGTTTCACCGTGTTAGCCAGGATGTTCTCGATCTCCTGACCTCGTGATCCGCCCATCTCGGCCTCCCAAAGTGCTGGGATTACAGGCGTGAGCCACCGCACCTGGCCAAAAAATCATATTTAATGATTAGAACAAAAAATTACAATAGCATCTGAGATTCAAGACTATGATGTTTAAAAGTGGGCAAAGATAAAGGGATTAAAACAGAAATAAGGATTCCATGCTTAATTTGAAGTGGTAAAATATCAATGCCAGTAGACTGTAATAAGTAACATTTGTATATTGTCACACCCAGAGCAACTGCTAATAAAATTACATAAAAAGGTACGTTCAAAAACGCTATAAGTAAATCAAGATGGAATCCTTAAAAGTGTTCATGTAACACACAGGAAGAAGAAAGGACCAGAGGCACAAGGAGAGGAAACAAAGAGAAAATGAATAATTACACAGAAGACTTGAGCCCTAATAACAACTACTTTAAATGTAAATGGTTTAAATACACCAACTGTAAGGCAAATATTGGCACAGTGGATAAAAAACAAAACAAACACAAACAAACCATGACTCAACTATATGCTATATACAAGTAACTCATTTTCATTTCAATGAAATAGGTAGGTTGACAGTCAAAGGACTAAAAAAATACTGTGTAAGCATTAATTATTTTTTATAAAAGAAGGAATAGCCATATTTATTTCAGATAAAGTAGAATTTATCCAAGCAAAGAAACTTCTAGAAACAAAGAGCGATGTTACATAATAATAAAAGAATCAACCTACTGTAAGGGATAATGGGAAGGACAGCTGAGAAAGGAATGAGGCCAATAGACCCAAGTTCAGGCAAGCTGATTTATTGTCAGTGCTGCCGGGCTACATCCTGACCAAAGCCGAGGAGACAGCCAGGCTTACAGACTACCACAGGGCTTTATAGGGCGAGGAACTGGGTCAGGGTTGGGGAGCTGAGTTGGGTGAGTAGGTGGGCTGAGTCAGGGTTGGGGAACTGAGCTGGGTGTGCAGAAGGGCTGAGTCGGGGTGAGGGAGATGAGTCGGGGGTGCAGGTGTCTTGACCGCATCCTGGAGATGTTTTTTGCCAGATTTGTTACGCAAGGTGAACAGACATGTTAACTGCATCCTGTAACTGCCTGGACAGTTACTGGAGGGGTCAGTGAAGAGGGGTTTGTCTTTAGCCCTGGGGGAGCTGTGCGGAGGTCACAAAGGACTGCATTGTAAGACCCATGGGAAGGGAGGGAAAACAGTCTGGTCGGAGTGACCCTAACATTCCAGCCTTTTAATAGATGATAGGAAAGGGGGTGCCATTTTTTGTCTGGCTGCTTCAGGCTGAGAGGGCAGTGACTAGGAGAAAGGCTGGAATGAGGGGGTGGCTTTAGTTTTGAAATTGTTGATACTCCTGGAGTAACATTATATCCTGTATGGTTCCATGGGCAAAGGCTCAGATACGATTCTGCAAAAACTGGGTGAAGAAGTGTATTAAGCAAGGCCTGAAGATTAGGAGGAAGAGAAAAAGAATTATAACAGGTCCAAGGAGAGGGAGTAGGCAGGGGGCCCAGGTGCTGAGAGACCAAGAGGGCCAAGAGGGCCAGGTAGAGGAGCTGCTTTCCCTGATTTTTTGGGTGCATCTTTGAACTTGTTTTACTGCATTCTAAACTAAGCCTGACTGGTTAAAATAAAAGCAGCATTCTTCATCTAGGAAAAATGCAGAGTCCTCCTTTGTCAGCGGTGAGTAGGTGGAGACCTCTGTGATTTTGTAAGGCGACTGCCGCTAGGGAGTCTAGCTGAGTTTGTAAGGTGGATATAGACGTTGCAAGGTCATCTACACCATTTGAAAGGTCCTTTGATAAGGTTTTATGGTAATAAGAGGAGGTTGCGATTCCTGCTACTCCAGTGCCTGTGGCTGCTGTGATGCCCAGGCCTATGAGTAGTGGGATAAGCTGTATGGCCCGGCGCCTGTGGTGTGGGATTTGAGTATTTAGGGTTTGGAGAGGCAGGTTTTCTCCTGGAGCTATGCCTATTTTAGGGCTGAGGAAGACCAGTGTACAGGTGCCTGTCCAGTTGGTGGGGAGACAGAGGTAGGTGGAGGTGCTGCATAGAAAGAACACACCTTGGCTAGGGAGGCAGAATTGGAAATGTATGGCAAAAAGGGGATGTAAAATGTTTTCTGAGCATCAGGTGTGGAGGGAGGAGGCTAGAGCCACTCCGGTTAGGGGTTGAAGGGGGTGTGTTGAGTTGAGCTGGCTAGCTCCTACTGATGAGTTTTCTAAGTGTAGAAAGAAACATTTTGTGTCAATAAGTAGTCTGTTTGAGGGTGTGTTAGGCAGTGGGATTTCCACGCATTCGGAAGTGGGGACGGGGTCTAGACAAGTGCTCCACCCTGCGATTTCTATGCAGGGCCTATGTCGGTTATTGCAGAATCCTGATGTTTCTCCTGTGACTTGGGCCTGAGGGGGGTTGGAGATTTTGAGAGTTTGTGTGGGGTTTGTTACTGTTACTGTTTGGATGCCTGTCGGGGGAGTGAGTGTCAGGATATAGTTGCATAAGCTAGAGGAGAGGGTGCCTAGGGGGGACTCCTGAGGAAAGTTCACATTTTATGCATAGGAATGCTTGTTGGCTGAGTTTTGAGTCTGAAGTAAGTGCTCTTAAGATAACCTTGCGTTCTGAAGTATGTGTGGTAAGATTGAGTTTGTAACTTTTGAGTGCATTTACTCCTCCGAAACTTTGGTAGCGGGGGTGGAGGGTTATACTGATGAGGACCCAGTCTTTGAGGGGAACTGGGAAGGCATCCTTTGATATGGTTTCTGAGGGGTGTACACAGAACCAGCAGGCCTTGGCCAGAGAGGGGTTAGTCTGATTGAGTATCCTATGTGCCTGTTGAATGGCGCGCTGAAGGTGGGAGCGGTAGTGAGAAGGAGGAGGAGTAAATAGACAGAGAGCAAGTGTAAAGGTAAAGAATTCGGCTTCATCTGGAGTGAATTCCTGTAAATCCCCTTGAAATATAAGATCGGTGATCCAGTCAAGTGCCGTGAGGGTGGGATGTTCTGGGTAGGACCATGAAATTCTGTGATGCAGTGAAGGAAGAGGGTGAAACGGCAGGACGGGCAAAGACAGGACATTTAGGAGGGGCAACTCTTGGTGGTGGTTATTATACCTGCTATAAGGAGGATTGTGAGGCAAAATGTTACAGATATGAAAATTTTTTGTTTGAAACTCCACCCAGGAGGTGAGACGGTATATAGTCATATGGCAAAGAGTAGAGTAAGTAGGGTGATTCCTGCAAGGGCAGCGTAATAGATGATTTCCATTAATAAGCGTTTGGATACTTAATGGTAAGGGGTGATAACTTGTCTGTTATGGTTCACTGGGGAAGAGTGGGGTCTTCTGGGATGGGCATTAGGTGGAGTTGAGTTTTTCCAAGAAGAGTGCTGGAGTATTTATAGGAAACAGCTGGTTGGTTAGTCAGTGGCGGGTCAGCGGCAGGGGCTCTTTTTAACCTGGAAAGATGGTACCAAGAGTTGTGTCCTGAAAGTTTGGCTGTGGTGGGGGTAGTGAGAAGGACTTGGAAAGGGCCTTCCCACTTCAGTTTGAGACTCGTTGAAGTAAGGGTTTTTAGGAACACATATTCTCCAGGAAGGAGTGCCTGGTCGGTGGGGCCTTGGTGGGATTTTGGGAGGGCCTGGTCTGCTTGTTCGTGGAGGGGATGACGGATGAGGGAGAGTGTTGGGAGGTACTCTCCTAATTGAGAGTTAGGAGGGAGTCTGTTTTGTAAGAGGAAAGGGCGTCCGTACATTAACTCAAATGGACTGAGGAAGGAGGGGGCTTTTGGACTGGCTCTGATGTGAGCC
This sequence comes from Homo sapiens, assembly GCF_000001405.40. Classification (NCBI taxonomy): domain Eukaryota; kingdom Metazoa; phylum Chordata; class Mammalia; order Primates; family Hominidae; genus Homo; species Homo sapiens. The sequence continues at coordinate 11,788,689 of NC_000006.12, read as the reverse complement.
AGCGCTATGGGTAAAAAGGAGGTCCAAGGTTTTTTGATCTCAAGTGTGAGTTTGGTTAACTGAGTTGTGAGAATTCCGTTTGCCCTCTCGACTTCTCCAGATGACTGGGGCTGATATGGGATATGGAGGCGCCACTGAACGCCAAGGGATGGGGAGACCTGTTGGGTAATTTGGGAGATGAAGCTAGGCCCATTGTCTGATTGTATGGGGCTCGGGAGACCAAATCTAGGGATAATTTCTGATATGAGAATTTGAGAGACTTCTGCAGCTTTTTCTGAAGGGGTAGGAAATGCTTCTACTCAACCTGAAAAAGTGTCTACGAGGGTAAGAAGATATTTAGATTTTTTGACGGGAGGCATGTGGGTGAAGTTTACTTGCCAGTGCTCCCCTGGGAGTGTTCCTCTGAGCTGGTATGTAAGGATGAGGAGAGGGCAGAGGGCCCCTTGGGAGGAAGTAACAGAGCATATACGACAGTTTGAGGTTATGTCCTTTAGTGAGATGAATAGATGGGGGGAGGAGAAACAAGGGCGAAGGAGTAGGTATGGGGGCATGCACTGATATGGAAGGGTTGGTGAAGAGGTGTTAGAATTTCCTTGCTTTGCTCTTGGGGAAGAACAGGCTTTTGATTTTTGATTATCCAGTCCCCTTGAAGGGAGGCTCCTTGCTGTAGTAGTGAAGACTTTTCAGTGGGAGGGTATCTGGGCGGGACTGCTGGGGTGACAAGGAGGATGGGGGCAGGGAGAGGAGAAAGGGAGTCCTGTTTTGCTGCCTCGTCGGTCTTTCTATTTCCTTTTGAGATTTCATCTGATCCTGCTTGATGTTCTCGACAGTGTATGACTCTTGCTTCAGTTGGGAGGTGTGCGGCCTGAAGGAGTTGGTAAATAAGGGGGGCCGTTAGTAATGGGGGTTCTTTTGGCGGTAAGGAATCCTTTCTCTTGCCAGATGGCTGCATGGGAATGAAGAATGTGATAGGCATACTTAGAGTCTGTGTATATGTTGACCCATTTGTTTTTGGAGAGGGTTAGGGCTCTGGTGAGCGCTATGAGTTGTGCCTTCTGGGAGGAGGTTCCTGGGGGTCGGGTTTTAGCCTCAATTACATGGTTTAAGGTAACTACTGCATACCCAGCAATTTTGGGAGAGACGGGGGCTCCGGAAGATGAGCCAACTATGAATAGTTGGTCATCTGGGTTAGTGAGAGGCTCGGAGGAGATGTTAGGGAAGTGTGGCTGCAGGCGATCCAGAATGTCAGTGCAAGAATGAGTAGGAGGGGAAGAGGATATGGGGAGTAGGGATGCTGGGTTGAGGGGTGCGCTTTTGGTGAGGCTGAATTCAGGATTTTCAATAAAGAGGGCATACAGTGACTGAATTCCGGAAGGAGAGAGGGAGCTTAACACCCGGGAGGAGAAGAGATCCTGTAAGTTGTGAGAGCTGTGGACAGTGGTGCTTTGGCTGAATGTTAGTTTTTTACTTTCCAGAGCTAAAATGGCCACTGCTGCTAATGCTCTAAGACAGGTTGGCCACCCTCTGACAGTGTTGTTTGTTTTGAGAGGTATGCCACAGGGGTAAAGGAAGGAGGATTTCCCTTTTGTTGCCCTAAGACCCCGAGAGCTATTCCTTGGTTTTCGGTGGCATAGAGAACGCAGGGTTGGGAGATGTCGGGTAAGGACAGGGCAGGTGCAGTGACGAGAGTGGTTTGGAGTCCACGGAAACTGGGAAGTATGTTGTGTGTGGGGCTTAGGGGTTCATTGAGAGGGCCTTTGGCTGCTTCACAGAGGGGCTGAGCCAGGAGGGCAAAGTTGGGAATCCATGTCCTAAAGAAACCTGCCAGTCCTAGAAAGAGAGAAGTTCATTTTTTGAGGAAGGCGGGGGCAAGCTGTTTATTAAGGTTGCTTGTGCTGGGGTCATGGCTCGGGCCCCGGGGGAGAGTTGGACTCCTAAGTATGTTACTGTTGGGGTAGATAGTTGGGCAAACAACAAATCTCTATTAGCATTTATAATTTACCTGCTACCATGAATAGTGCTGAGGGCACAGAGATGTATCAGACACCCCTGGAGGAGCTCATAGTGATTGGCTGCATCAGTGAAGGTTCCAATAGGAAAAGGCATTTCCCTCAGCTGAGAGTTTAATGATGGGACTATTAGCACAAGGATGGGCAAAGGTAAGACAGTTCTGTAAGAACTGTGGAAGTACAGATCAGCTGTAAAGGGAATGAGCCATCTGAGACGGGCTCTGTGCACATTACGAGGGTAGGTGGAACAAGTACAAGTCCCGCCGACTTGCCTTGTCTTCAGGTTTAACATCTGAGAGCTATATTGGTTAGCTGTTTGTTTAGCAACAGCAGCTGGAGAACCCCTCTCTTGTGTCAAAATGAAACCACACTTCAGCAGACTTGTTCACCATAATCTCAAGGACTCTGTGCCCTGTGTCCCTATTTCCTGCTCATCGCTGCTCAACCTGCAGACGTCACCTAGGAGTGTCGTCCAACCCCTCCCGCTGCAGCTGGCGCCATGGTGTGTGTGGGGGTGTGTGAATCTGTGTGGGGTTGGGGCATTTCTTCAGAGGCCAGCCCTGGTCAGTTGCTCCCTTAGTTCAGTTGGCGTCCCAGCTTTGGGACATGAGATAGTCACTGTTGCAGGTTCCCTGAACCCCATTTCATACCGAAGGAAATTAACACCCCAGAGAAGCTGATGGCTGATCAGCTCCAGGTCCTGAAGCATATACAGGCTTGGACTCAAGCCCCTTGCCCTGACTCCCTGCGTTTTGTACCTTATCCCTTGGTGACTGGCCAAGAAATGGGTTATATCTTTACCAGGAAAAACTGTTATTTGTGCCGGTGGCCATGACTACTTTACTGTGGGACTCCTTTCATCCTTATCTTCTCCTACGTGGTGTCTGGAGTTTCCCATGACTTACTCAATGCATTCATCGTTAGCTCAATCTTCCATATATTTAGAATGACAGAATAATGTGCAGGATAATTTAGGCTCCATTAGTACTTTGTGCATACCTCTATTATAGTACTTATCACATCATGCTGTAATTTTTTGTTTACATACCTGTCTCTGCCACTTGGCAGTGAGTTCCTCCGGGGCTCAGGCTGTCTTACTCATTTCTGTATTCCACCTCCTCCCCACAACCCAGCAGCTGAACACGTTGAACACAGTAGGTTTTTAATGAATGAGCCGGCTTTAGGGTAAGGCTCGGTAGACTGGTACACCTGGTATTCCACATATTCATTTATTCAGCAAATATTTTCATAACTGCTACTATTTTTTAAATTGCCAAATAAAAATTGTATACATTTGTGGTGCACAACATGATGTTTTGAAATCTGTATGCACTGTGGAATGGCTAACTCAAGCTAATTAATATATGCATTACCTCACCTACTTATCCTCTTTTTGCGGTGAGAATACTTTTTTTTTTTTTTTTTTGACAAGGTCTGACTCTATTGTCCAGGCTGGAGTGCAGTGGTGTGATGCTGGCTCACTGCAACCTCCACCTCCCACACTCAAGCAATCCTCCCACCTCAGCCTCCCAAGTTGCTGGGACTACAGGTGCACATCACAAAAACATAATTTTTGTGTTTTTAGTAGAGACGGGGTCTTGCTATGCTGCCCAGGCTGGTCTCAAGCTCCTGGGTTCAAGTGATCTTCCCACCTCAGCCTCTCAAAGTGCTGAGATTATAGGTGTGAACCACCATGCCTCGCCAAGAATACTTAAAATCTACTCTGTTAGCAATTTTCAAGCATACAATACATTATTACTAATTATAGTCACCATGTTGTACAATAAACCTCTTACACTTATTCTTCCTGTCTAACTGAAATTTTATATCCTTTGACCAACTTTCCCCAACCCCCACTCCCACCTCCGCCCCAGGCCCGTGGTGACCTCCATTCTACTCTCTGCTTTTTTAGACTGCACATATAATGAGGTCAAGGAGTATTTGTCTTTCTGTGCCTGGCCTATTTCACTTAACGTAATACCCTCCAGGTTCACCTGTGTTGTCACAAATAGAAGTTTCTTCTGTCTGAAGACTAAGCGTTATTCCACTGTGTATCCGTACCATACTTTCTTCATTCATTTATCCATCGATGAACACTTAGGGTGAGTCCCTGTCATGGCTATTGTAAATAAGAATGTTGCAATGACTGTGGGAGTGCACGTGTCTCTTTGACATACTGATTCATTTTCCTTTGGATATATACCCAGTCGTGGGATTGCTGGATGATATTATAGTTCTATTTTTAATTTACTGAGGAAATTTCATACCGTTTTCCATAATATCTGTGCTAATTTATTTCCCACCATCAGTATATCAGAGTTTTCTTTTCTCCACATCTTTGCCAACACGTGTTTTCTTTTTTCTTTCTTTCTTTCTTTCTTTTTTTTTTTTTGGATAACATCCATTCTGACAGGTGTAAGGCGATATCTCATTGTGGTTTTAGTTTGCATTTCCCTGAGGTTTAGTGATGTTGAACATTTTTTATATATCTGTTGGCCATTTGTATGTCATCTTTTGATGTCTATTCGGGTCTTTTTCCCATTTTTTAAATTGGGTTATTTGTTTTCTTAGTCAGCAGATGTTTATTAGGTACTTACTGTGTGTCCAGCACTATGCTAAGCTCTGGGAATTCAAACACATCATATGTGAACCCTAGGAGATAATGACGTACAAAAAAGACTAATTCCTAATCATTATGCAACATGCAGGGATGCATAGCAGGTTAAAGAAGACAGGAGGGAGCTGTTTAAGATGGCCAGGTTGTGGTGGCCATCCAGGAAGGGTTCCTGGAAAAGGAAGCTGCTGAGCTGCATTTTAAATGAGGGTTATGACGTAACCAGTCAAAGATATGTTGAGAGGAGGCATCAGGGAGAGGAGACAGTAGGAGTAAAGGTGCCGGTATGTGACATAGCCAGGTGTGGGTGAAAAGCTCTGTCAATGCAGTGTTGTTGGAGTGACATCCAATGTGGGATGCCACACGAGGATGGAGAGAGCCAGTGGGAAGTGGGCAGGTTATTAAAAGCTATGAAACTTGGATGTAATGCTGTGGGTGATGCTGATGTAGTAAAACGACATGAGCTGGTGGGGGATGTGGCATTTCAGAGAGAATCACTCACTGACCTTGTGAAAAACAGCGTTGGGGCATCAAACTAGATTCAGGAAAACCAGCTAGGTTGCTGGTTGCTATGGTGGTGGCAAGAGATGGAGGCCACTTGAACGAGGGCAGTTGTAGAAGGGATGGAAAGAAAGGGACTGATTTGACCCTGATGTAAGAAATGAACTTGGCAGGATTTGGTGGTTAACTGGATTTGAAGAGTAAAAAAGCGGGAGGACACAGGAAGCTCCCAGGTCGATGGTGAGGCCATGGTCACAGGACAGAGACTAGAGAAGAAAAGCCTGGTTTGGCGGAAGTCAGTGAGCTCGTTTTAGACGTATGGAGTTTGAGGCGTGTCTGTCTCCTTCAGGAGATTCCAACAGGTAGTCAAAGATGTGTTTGAAGCTTGGTGGGGATAGGGAGAGGGCCTGGACCAGAGGTATATAATTTGTGGTCACAAACTGGAAGGCAGTGGTAGAAATTATGATCATGGATAAAATCACTAGGGTGAGTATGTGTTGGGAGACGGACGGTAAGCTGGACCAGCTCTCTGGGGAATGCCAACACAGAAGGAGCTGGTGGAGGAAGAGGAGCTCATTAAACAGACTGAGAAGGATAGTAAGAGCATGTTGGGAGAATAAGCCTTGCTCATACGTGGCTTCCTTAGGGCTAGCTTCCCTGACGCCCTACCCACACCAGGTCTGATACTGCCATCCCCTCTAATAAGTCTGCTGTGTTTGTCCTTCACAGAAGTTGCCATAGTTATAAATTAACACTTGTTTTTGTTGTTGCTTAATGTTCATCTTTCCTGCTAAAATATAAGCTCCATGAGGGCAGGGTTTGCATCGCTCTTCTTCCTCGGGGAATCCCCAGGACCTAGCAGATAGCTGTTGCTTAATAAGTATTTGTGAAATTAAAGAATCATGTTGCGGACTCCCAGGGGGGTAGAGAGTTTCAAAGAAAGTCACTCTTAGTAACCAAGTGGCCTGTGTAGTATCCAAATCAAAGTATGAAATATGCTTATTTTTAAATGTTTAAAATTTCCTGTGTAAAATAATAAAAGTTTTGAACAATTCCTTCCCACTTCTCCTGGATATGACGTGAAGCCCTCAGATACTTGGAGAAAGGAAAAGGCAGACAAACAGCACGCTTAGTATGTATTAGTTTATAACGTGCAACTAAGAGGTGACATTCATTGCTCTCCAAAGCTCCACCTGGTCTCATGGTGGGGAACAGATGTTCAGGCTACTTCATGAAAATGGATCTGGTTATTCAACCAGGAACACAAATTATGATGTGAATATGGTTGCAATGTAGATTTTTCATTGGCAACAATTTTGTGAAAAGTTTATAAGAAAATGCAGATGTTGAATTAAGAAATAGTTTTATTTCTTAAAATATTAAAATATTTCTTAAGAAATAAAACTATTTCTTAATTCATAATCCTTAACTCATAATGTAATCCTTATATACATATATTACATGTAATTATTAAATCCTTATATACATATACATGTTATTTATTAAAATATCATTTTATTAATTATTAATATGTATTAAAATGATATTACATGTTATTAAATCCTTATATATTAATGTCATTATTTATTAAAATGCTAACAATTCATTGGATCCCAATGTAAAACACTAAAACTCTTACAAATAAATTTAAATAATTTTATCAATATTTATGAGAGGCCCCATCTGTGGGCAATGAGGCTAACGTAGAGAAAAAAACCATCTAGGTGGTGAAAGGCCAGTGTCCAGGTTTGGACACACACATCTCAGAGATTTGGGTCTTTGTCTTCCCCTCCTTTCCTACCTTTGCGTCAATCCTTACCCATCTGCAGACTTAGACTTGAGATTTTTTTTTGTATAAAGGAATAAAACCTCTAAATCAACAATGGTGTCTAAAATGAAAACACCCTTGGAGACATTCATTCATTCATATGTGCACCAAGTTTCAAAACATATTGATCCTTTTCTGAGATAATTTTCTGATGAGAGGAGAGAAGAATAAAAGGGACTCGGCCGGGCTCGGTGGCTCACGCCTGTAATCCCAGCACTTTGGGAGGCCGAGATGGGCGGATCACGAAGTCAGGAGATCGAGACCATCCTGGCTAACACGGTGAAACCCCGTCTCTACTAAAAATACAAAAAAAATTAGCCGGGCGTGGTGGCAGGCGCCTGTAGTCCCAGCTACTCGGGAGGCTGAGGCAGGAGAATGGCGTGAACCCGGGAGGCGGAGCTTGCAGTGAGCCGAGATCGCGCCACTGCACTCCAGCCTGGGCGACAGAGCGAGACTCCATCTCAAAAAAAAAAAAAGGGGCACTCAGTAGGGAGAGGAGAAATATCAAAGTGGGAGTCTGAGAGTGTGCAGAGCAACATTGTTCCTTTGTAGGCAGGTACACTGGTTGTATTAGGGTTCTCTAGAGGGACAGAACTAATAGGATGTATGTATATAAGAAGGGGAATTTATTAAGAAGTGACACACAATCACAACAACAGGCCGTCTACAAGTTGAGGAGCAAGAAAGCCAGTGGTGGATCAGTCCGAGTCTCAAAACCTCAAAATTAGAGAAGCCAACAGTGCAGCCTTCAGTCTGTGGCCAAAGGCCCGAAAGTCCCTGGCAAACCATTGGTATACATCTAGGAGTCCAAAAGCTGAAGAACTTGCAGTCCGATGTTCGAGGGCAGGAAGCATCCTGAGAGCATGGGAGAAAGATGAAGTCCGGAAGACTCAGCAAGTCTAGTCCTTCCACGTTCCTCTGCCTGCTTTATCCTAGCCACGCTGGCAGCTGATTAGATGGTGCCTACCCAGACTGAGGGTGGGTTTGCTTCTCCCAATCCACTGACTCAAATGTTAATCTCCTTTGGCAACACCCTCACAGACACACCCAGCAGCAATACTTTGCATCCTTCGAACCAATCAAGTTGACACTCAATATTAACCATCACACTGAGTTCAGACGGCAGCTCTGCCTCTTACAAAGTGTTGAACACATCCTTTTAGCAGATCGGGCTTCAATTTCCTCATCTGAAAATGTACTTAATTCGTAATAGTACTTACCTCATAGTGTTATTTAGAGTGCTAATCAGCTAATATGTGTAAAGCAACTGGAACAATGTTTAGCAAACAGTAAGTACTATAAAAGTATTAGCTTCTGTTATTATTTGCAATTTAGCCCAGGCTGTGGAGTTTTGTACAGAGTTTTATGTACCCATTTCCCAGATCACCCCTTCCTTTGAGAATGGTTTGCTATGGTCTATGTTTGTGTTCCCTGCAAATTCCTATGTTGAAATCTTAACTCCCAGGGTGATGGCATTAGGAGAGGGGAGCTTTCCGAGGTGATTAGGTCATGAGGGCAGCATCTCCATGAATGGGATTAGTGACCTTATAAAACAGGCCTCAGGGAGCTTGTTTGCCCCTTCTACCACATGAGGACTCAGCCAGAAGGCACTATTTATGAACCAGGAAACCGACCCACATTAAACACCAGGCACTCTGTCAGCATCTTGATGTTGGACTTCCAGCCTCCAGAACTGAGAAATAAATTTCTGTTGTTTCCAAGCTTCCCAGTTTACAGTATGTTGTTATAGCAGCCCCAACAGATGAAAAAAAAAAAAAAAAAAAAAAACATGGTTACAATGCAGAACTCCATGGCGGGCTCAGGTTTGCTCTCCTCCCATCTCCCAATCCTGATATTGGGAGTCTGTTGACTCTTAGGAGGTGGGTTTGTTTATGGTTTGTCCTCCTTGTCCAGCCTACAGTTCTTTCTGCTAGTACTTTTAAGCCCTGGTTAAGTCATTGAAAAGCACCAATTACAGACTTACATAACTGTGTCAGGAGCATTTCTCTGAGGGATTTGCTCACCCCTCGGAGTCAGTTGCCCAGGGAAACAAGCTGGCGATGTCACAAGGCATCCACTTCTAGTTCTTCCTCAGTTCCCTTCTGTGGAACCTGAGTCAGAGCCTAGTCCGGCATGCTGCCTAGCCCAGCCACGTCTCATCCTATTCATGGCAGAGCGGGGACTCTCACCCTCTCCCAGCAATGTCTAAAGTCAGGTATTTTGGGGTCATGGCCATAGTAAGGATGGTCTCCTGTGCTGCTTCTTCCCTCCCAGGGCACAGAAATGCCTATGCAAATGGAGTGTCTAGGACAGCCCTGGGTTACTCTTGGTTCTCTAGGGTATAGTTACAAAAGTGAAAAAAAAAAGAAAAGAAACCATTGGAGCTGCTCCCTGGAGGATCAAAGGTTGTTGCAGACTTTCTAGAATCTCAGAGACCTCAGGAGCAAAATTACAACACACTTTTCCTTTCTACTGTTCATGCCCTAAGCACACCCATGATCTGGTTTATCAACCTGCTCCTCCTTTTCTCAAGAGATAAGGTTGCAACTTCCTTGTTATATGCAAATGAAAAGAAAAGAGACTACAGCCATGGAAGTATTTCGCTAGATTTTCCTAGTATTTCATGCTTACTTCATTTAACCATGCCCCTGCCCCAGTGCCCTAGTGAAACAGTACAATGTACAGCTCTTGCATTGCTACCTGCCCTTCTCAAAGCCCACATGTTGTATTTTATGCAAATCTACAGATTATCTATCATTATCTAAATGCAGGCATCTGAAAACCAGCAGTAATCCTGCCTCTGAAGTTTATCAGGAAAGGAGCTTAAAAGAGAACCAAATTCAGCCTGTGTTGGAACTCTCAGTCCCAGAGGGGTGTGGTTTGTAGCTCTCCGGCCTGCTGTTGGACTTAGGCTGTGACCCACAGAAGGACGCCAGAAAGTACTCAAGACATTCACGGTGCCCCGGTCAGCACTCGCCATGACGAAGACTTCTACATGCATATACCACTTCCTTGTTCTGAGCTGGTATACTTTCCTCAATTATTACATCTCACAGGAAGGAAAAGACGAGGTGAAACCCAAAATCTTGGCAAATGGTGCAAGGTGGAAATATATGACGCTGCTTAATCTGGTAAGTCCATATGTCCGTACCAGGAACCGATCCATTTCTCTAGAATATCAGTGCTGCCACACATATCATCTTTGGATTTTATTAAATACACAATTTTGTTATTTGTCTTCCTTCTTCACCGTTTTGTGAGTTTTGGGTTTTTTGTTTACTTAACAATTTGCTCTGATAAACCCAATTTGGAAATTATCTATAGTTAACATTTCTATGCTGGCTCATTGTTAAATGCTCTCTTGAAAAAAAAAATCTCATCTTGGAGCTCTTTTCAGATGAGCTCAAAGAGGGGACCATGCTAATGGTTTCACCATGGGATTAACTACAAATGCAGGAGGCATTTTGAACTTTGCTTGGGGAAGTCTGTGAAGAGAAGGCAGAGTGGCGTATGGTGTGTAGGAAGTGTAATTTCCAATGAAGGAATAATGCCATTTTACAGCACACACAGACTAACAGATTTATCTAAGAAAAGCAAACACATTTTGCCATGTTCAGCTCCCACCTCAATTTTTTATAGGTTCAGGCTCCATCTTAAAGGACAAATCACCCAACCGAATGGCAAATACACATTTTCAACTATTTAAAAACCAATCTTATGACTTACTCCTTTCTTGTCTTCCTAACCTGGCTGACTGCATTCTGATGAAGTGTGAATGAATGGGAGAAAAGCAGATTATGAAAAATACTTTGAGGAATAGCTTAAAAAAATACTTTTAAAGTTAAAAGCTAATAATGGGGAATCATTTGGGGATGTGAATTAATATTTGAGGTTTTTGACTAAAATCTTGGGTGCCACATAAACATCTGTTTTCAGAATTGTAATCCTCATTTGACAAGCGGAGAATGTATGTGGTCAGAAACTGTGACACTCTGAAATGCTAAGGACGTGGAAATGGAGAGAGTTAAAATCAAAGAGGCCCAAAGTGGCTGCTTCCTCCTCACTGGTTGGTTAGTGGCCTCTTGATTTGGGCCTGAAAAATTGGAACCCTGAACACAGCTCTAGTGTCTTTGAAAACTTCAAGGTGACTACTTGTTTCAATCATGGAATTTTATGAGAAAAACAAACAGAAACAAAACAAAAAATGTTTTTTGTATAACTAGCAGTGCCACAGTAAACAACAACAACAAAAAACCACACACACACACGCGCATACACACACACCCCTAAGGTTTGTGTCTCTATTGGCTTTCTATGAAAAACAGTCCACTAAAAGGGAAGTGTGTCTGTAGTTAGGACTGACTTTCTAATAAAATCCAATTCCAGTATGAATGTCCTACCTCACACTATGTGTGGCTAAGAATAGATTTATCACCACACTCATTAACTAGCTCCCTTACCTCTTTGTATACACACACACACACACACACAACTGATCCTGACTTTTTAATTCTAGCTCACCTACATTTCCAAGAGCCCTTATTTTCCAAGAGTGAGAAAAGTCTCTTATCTTGTCAATGATACTATCATTTCCTAGTGTTAATCCCAATTTTGCTTCCCTGATTGATCAGCTACCAAATCCTATTAGTTTTTCCTTTTACTAAGTTCATCCTTTCTTCTTCAACCTTACTACTGTCTCTCTCATTCCAGGCTTATATTAAGCCTACCTGGATGACCATATCATCTCTTTACTGTCCATTCATGGTCCAATCCAGCCACTTAGATTCCAAATTAATCTTCTCAAAGCACTGGTTTTGGTTTGTTTTTTAATACCATGACCTGGATCTAAAAGTGTGGCCTGCCGCTCAGGAAACCACAGTGGCTCCCTCCTGCCTCATGGACCCAATGTCAAACTCCCGATTCAAGAGCTCACCTGCCCAACCAGCCTTTCGGGTTCCCTCTCCCTGGGAGGCTGGTCTCTTCTGCAGTAAGGACTGCGTCTCACTAGTATTGGTCCTTGGGCTTCCTGCTGTCACTTCTCTGCCCGGTGTTCTCTCTATCCTTAGAAGAAAGGCCTACTTACCTCTCTCCACCACATTGCTTCTTTCATAGAACATTGGGAATCACATATACTCCTCCCAAATCCTTGCTGACCAACTCCAGTCCAAATTTCCTTTTCCTTTCTCTGATTTTCACAGCATCTCTCAGTCTCTGCTGATTTATATGTAGTATTGTTTTCTAATTCCCTCTCTCCCTGCCATGTGAGTCTTAACATTCCAATCAAACTTTGGCTCCAAAACAGAAGTTTTTTTTAATCTTAGGTCCTTGCCAACCCTAACTGTCTATATTTCTACCTTGAATTCAGCACAGTGGCTGGCACAGGATACCCAGATATTAAAAAGCTGCGACTTGGTACGTTGACGTGACCTCAGCCTTTCTGCATCCTCAAGCAGTCCCTCTCTTCTGGTATCTTCTGGCCCTCGTAAATAAGCTGAGAGGGGCTTGCCTGTGGTGATTTTCTTTCTGAGCTCCATTAGGAGTCATCTTGAAAGTGTGACCTAATGAAATGCTTCCCAACTGGTGAAGATGGGTTGAGTGTATTTCAGAGGATCGATTTAATGTAGATTTCGAATATGTTGCTTAAGGTGAAATATTGGACCTGCAAATGTCTAGCTCTTGAGATTCATGGGCTGATTAATGGTTGTGTCTCCTAATGATTAATTAGTGTTCATTCATGACTAATTAATTGGTGGTTGTGTTTATTAAGTCATAAAGGTCTCACAACTTACGCTCACATTCTTATATTTATTTTACCTCACCTTGGGGAAGTTAGTATCCAGTCCTGATTACCAGAAAATTTACACCCCTCCTCGTAAACAGCTTGAATTTCTAATTGGCTGAGTATCATTTTTGTCCCCTTTGTAAGAGCAAAGCCCCCTTTTGTGCCAGTTGGCACTGTGAGCATTGCCCCAGTTCCCCTTGAAGCTATCCCAGGGGACTGGAAGGGGAGACAGACAGGAGACAGGAGACAGACACGAGTTGCACTGAGCTACTCCCCTGGGGTTGGTGGTAGTGGCTAAGGTGCCATTGAGAATTGGTCAGGGTGACCCATTTCTGACTAAGGAGAGTGAAGGTAGGAGAGGACAGATGGGAGTCTCTGCCTAATAAGAGAGTAAACTGACCTCAGTGAAGGGGCCACTGATTCCCTGCTGGGAGGGAGAGGTGGTATTTCACAATGGTTACAATTGCGATCTCTGGGATGGTACCTCAGTCCCACTGCTTACTGCCCCCGAGACCCTGGGCTAGGCACTTCTTTGTGTCTTTCATTTCCACGTCTGTCAAATAGAAATAAAAATAGTACCTAACCATAGGGTAGCCATGGGGGAGAAATGATCTGACAGGTGGGAAGCGCTCAGAATGGCGTCAGCAGGGTGTTAGGCAGTGGACAGTGGGGAGAGAAGATGGGGAGGTGATGGTGAACTTCTCTGGGTAGAGAAGGTGATGCAGGAGGGTGACTTAGTAGAACATCAGTCTCCTCACTGAGCACCTAGGTTGTTGCGGGGTGGAGGCCAGCAGGAGTCATCCACCCCCTTCCCCTTCATGGCTACTATTTCTCCCTCCCCGAGCTGCATGCCCCATCTTCCCAGCTGGAGAAGGACCACTGTCGAGCCACTGCTCTCCCTGCTGTAGCTGCCCGCAGGCACCAGGCCGTCCTGGTGGTAGAGTCTGCAGGCTCCAGCAGACAGCCATGCAGAATGGGGAACCCCAGAGGCTAGGCGTGAGACCAAGGCAGTGCCATGGGTGTCCTCAAGCAGCTTAGGTTGGCTCAGATCATCCAGTGCCTGAGTCCTCCACAAATGCTATGTCCCTTGCTCTCTGTCCACCCCATTTCCATCCAGGGACTGTCCCTAATCCCAGAGAATATGAGCTAGGGGGTTTAGGGCAAGGCTCAGCAGCCACAGCTTGGCTCGCAGAATTCATTCAGTTTATTAGGGTTTCCTCTTTTTAAAGATAAGCTTCCTTCTGAAACATTGTTAGAGGTGGGGCCACATAACTGGGATCTCCAGGGGAGATTCTGAGTGGGCCCCTCCCTCCCCACGCCCCTGACACCCCCTTCAACAACAGAAGCATGACCTTTCCCTCCCTTTTCATAAGTTGCCCAAGCCCCAGGCAGCTCCGTCGTCATCACCCTCAACTTCTCATGATGACAACAGTGGCAATACCACATAAGTCCTTGGGGTTGCTGGCCTGGGGCTGGGGGAACAGAGGAGCTGGGAGGCCTCTATGGGTCTAAACTTCAAGGCAGCCTGTGAACAGTGAGAAGATGGGGTTGAATTTATAGTATGGCACCCACTTCAACACTTGGGGGACCAACCTTAAGTAATAATCTATGGCACTATTTATTTATTTATTTATTTATTTATTTTTGAGATGGAATCTCTCTCTGTTCCCCCAGGCTGGAGTGCAGTGGCACAATCTTGGCTCACTGCAACCTCTGCCTCCTGGGTTCAGGTAATTCTCCTGCCTCAGCCTCCTCAGTAGCTGGGACTACAGCATGCACCACCATGCCTGGCTAATTTTTTTTGTATTTTTAGTAGAGATGGGGTTGCACCATGTTGGCCAGGTTGGTCTCAAACTCCTGACCTTGTGATCCGCCTGCCTTGGCCTCCCAAAGTGCTGGGATTACAGGCGTGAGCCACCGCACCCAACCCCTATGGCACTCTTCAGCAACGTGGAGTCAGAAATACACTTAACTATTTCTGCCTCACAAAGATGCACTTCAATAGCTGAAAGGGTAAGGACTGAGAGAACTATGTGATAGTCACCACCAGCACCCAAAATAAAGCAGCTATAAATTATTGAGCAAGTAACTATGACAGCATTTTGGTAGGTTCTTTGGACGCAGTATAGAGATGAGTGATTGAAGACCTGGCTTCTGAAACCAGAACACTGGCTGTGCTCACTTGCTGTGTGATTTTGAGTGACTTGCCTAACTTCTCTGTGCTTCAGTTTTCTCATGTGCAGTGGATACTCTGATAAGGCACCCAGATCCTCATACCTCCCCAGCGCTGAGGTACTCAGTCCCCAGCTCTCAGGAGTGTTGGCTGCTGATGGTGCAAAGCTGAGATCCCCTCCCAGAATTGCCCTCAGCAGAAGGGAGCTGCCTCGACCAAGGTTTAGGTCCCTCCCTGGCGTTGCTGCCTGCCATAACTGGCATCCAATATGGGGTGCAAATGCTGCACTCCCGGACAGCTCTGAACGAGCAGCTCAGCTCAGAGCTCCTCAAGGGATCAGCTGATTCCATGCAACTGCCCAGCACTTAGCCTCCCCCACTTCAATCCTTCTCCCTTTTTGCCTCTCATAGATGTCTGAGAGCGTTCTTCAGTGAACATCCTGCAGGCACATCTCAGAATCTCAGATTGTTTCCCACGGAACCTGACCTGCATCGTGTAAAATACCAAACATACAGAAAAGGTTTCTCTCCCTCCTCTTCCTCCTCCCCCTTCTCCTCATCATCTTCTTCCACTTCTTCTTTTCCTAATTCCAGATAAAGACACTAACACAGAGCTTTCCCTGGCCTGTATTATGTTCTGATACCTCACCGACAATTTCTGTACCTAACTGACATTCCGTGAATGTTGGTTGAATGAGTGAATGACCAGAACATGGTTCTAACAGGCATGAGGCCATCCCATCATGAAGGTGTTTTATCCCACAGCCACCCTACTGCTGTACTGAAGCCCGTTGTCCTCAGCTATGCGACATTGGCCAAGCATTCTGGTACTTCTTTCCAACCTGTCCCTTGATGCTCTTGGTCTCATTTTTCTCTTCATTATTCCAAACTGTGGTTCTGCACATTCTTTCTCCTCCTGTGTTCTTTATTGCATCCTTTAATCTCAGTTTCTTAAGTTAAATGTGTATGAATGATGACAGAAATCCTATATTCCATACGAATACAGATATACTTGGCAAAGTACCTGCCCCAAACACAACCACCACTGTTATATAAAGGACTCATCACAGCCCCCAATTGCTGTTTTCTTCTGGTGTAGTCTTCCACCGCAAATTCTTGCATCATTTCAAAGGAGAGAAATAAGAAAGTCCCGCCTGGCTGAGTCAGGCACAGTCCTGAGTTAGGTGTTGGATTACTTGACTCATCCAATAAGACTTGTAATGTCTTGCTCAGGAAACTTGTGGAATCTCCCTCCCTGGAATTACTTTTTAAATAGAAGAAATTCTCATTTCCTAAGGTAGTTTAAAGAGAGAGGGCTCTGGCTTAAAGGCAAGAGATAAGCTTGATGACTTGGAAAGGCTAAGCTTCCACGATTTGAAGATTTTTGTGGGTTTGTGAAAACACATGAATGTAAAAACTAAATATCCTTTAACTGCAGTTTTTTGAATTGCATTAGTTATTTAAAAGTGTCAATTCAGCTTTGTCGCAGGTGTTAGTTTGTCAGCTAGCAACAGAAACAAAAGACAGCTAACGAACTCAGAAGCAGCATTTCAGGAAAAGGCACGGAACACGCAGTGGGAACAGAATTAGGGAAGAACCAGGAGAAAGGATAAATCAGGGAGCAGCAGGTCTGAAATAAACTTAGAATAAGTAGATGCCGTTACGTCTGGGCTTTTCTGGGCGGCCAAAATAGCTGTGAAATGTAAATGATAGTAATTTTGTTGTAAGAGTCTCAAAAGAAGACCAGTTGTGGCGATCATATTTTAATGCTACTGTATAGTTTCCTAGGGCTGCCGTAACAAACTACCATGGACTGGGCTTACACAACAGAAATTGATTTTCTCATAGTTCTGGAGGCTGGAAGTTGAAGATGTGGGCAAGGTCGGTTTCTCCTGAGGCCTCTGTCCTTGGCTTGCAGATGGCCGCCTTCTCCCTGTGCCCTCACGTGGTCTTCCCTCTGTGTGTGTCTGTAGTCCTCATCTCCCTTTCTGATAAGGACACCAGTCATAGTGAATTAGGGTGCACCATCGTGACCTCATTTTAACTTCATCACCACTTTAATACAGTCATATTCTGAGGTCCTGGAGGTTAGGATTTCGACATATGAATTTGGTGGTGGTTGGTGGGGGATATAAATTAGCCCATAACAGCTAACATTGCCTCCCCTGATCGCTCCGTCTGTTATCGTGAGTCAAGCTCATCCTGAGTTTTATAAACATTGCATCGTCTTTGGAGAATAAGCAGACCGTTCGGGTGGGATGGGCTGATCCACACCTGTCCCTGCTGCCCTCCTGGAAGCCTCCCCATGGAGCCTGGGAGAGGCTCTCTCGCTCTCCGTGTGCCCCAGCTGCTCCTGGCAGCCCCTTCACGCCCCAGCTCTTGCAGGTTTCTTTTCCTTGGCGGCTCCCTAGTGCCTCCCTCCTGAGCCCCCACGCGGGGGTTCCACCTGCTTGTGGTGAATTCGGACAAAGACGCCTCAATGTTGAGTAAGCTCGATGGCGACAGGGCTGCCTGGCACACACCGTGGGCACCTAGAGAGGCCCGTGTGCCATAAGCCTGAGAAGTAACCGTGAGCTGGGGTGGAGAGGGAGAGGGGATTGACAAGTTGGAGGTGTAAAGCAAGTTTTTATTGATGGAGAAGGCCCGGAGGATCTGAGTAATGCGTTCTTTCCCCCAATCCGATTTCCACATCCTGTGACTGGGAGAGGCAGGAGAAAGTCAGGAGGAGCTTGACTCACGATGACTCTAGGAAGCTCCAGCCTGAGGAAAGCAGGTCACATGGACTTCACACGCCGGGCGGAGGCGGCCTCTCCCCAGAGAGGGAAGGCCTGGCCCAGGCTCAGGATGGGATTAATTGCCCTGCTGATAGAACAGCGCAGGCCTCTTCCCCTGGGCCCAAGCCTGTGCCTGCTCTTCCTAACTACAGCAGCAGCCTGGCCTGCTGCGGCCTGAGCGGCTGGAAGTGAAACCAGGGTGAGGCGAGGCTACTGGTGGGGGAGGGAGAGAGGAGGGAACTTCTCCCAACTCCCTGTGCAAATGACTACACATCCAAATTCTGCAGCCCTGAGGGTGTGAATGTCAAAATCACCAGCAATAATGAGAAGTATTAGGGTGGCAACCCCTTCCTGCCATTTAAAGCTGTTGCCCCACCCCTCCCTGGGACACCCCTTTCTGGTTCGAAAGCTCCTCCACCCCAGGGCCCATGATTTCCTATCTTCTGGCTCTTCTACCCCCGGCCGTTCTTTAGTACCTTTATGTCCCTTTCCCTTCCTGTCCCTTAGACAAGGACCTTTCCCTGCTGTCTGCTGCCTGCTTTTCTGTTCTCCCCTCTCCTCTCTCCCTTTCCTGCAATCTTGTTCCACAGGAGGGCTCAACAGCCTGCATCTCCCCAGCCCCGCCTCTCTTGAGACTGCAGGGTCTGAATTTCCAAACGGAAGTTCCTCCAGGCAGGTGGTTCTCAGCCTCAGCTGCCCGTGATTAGAATCACCTGGGAGGATTTTAAAAATCCCAACCCCTAGGCCCTAGCCCCAGACTGATTACATTAGAATCTCTGGGGGTGGGAACCAGGCAGCGGTGGTTTGTGAAGTGGTCGTTCATTCTCCCACCTGGAGATAATTGTCTCTCTTCTGACCTCCCACAATGCTTTATCTGAACTACGCTCAGAAACCTGATAATTTTTTTTATTTTTTCGAAGTCTAGCTCAAGAACAGGACTGCTGGGTTTGACATCTACCAGCCAGGAAGCTTTAGGCAGGTTTGTTTCCTCGTTTGTAAAATGGTGGTGGGCGGGGGAGTCTAATGATAGGACTTGGCTCGTAAGGTTGTTATGAGAATGAAACACAGTTCAGTGCCTGGCACATACCAAGTAATGAATAAAAGTCCGCTTTATAGCTTTGAGTAGTAAGATTTTTGAGGGCTAAACTTGGGTCTCATTCAGTGGTTCTAGCTTTAGCCTACATAAAGATTAAATAATCTTTTTCTACATTTAAAATCTATATTTTATATTCTGTAAAGTGTATCTTAATAAGGTTGGCCAAAAATTTCTTTTTTTTTTTTAACTTTTATTTTACATTCAAGGGTACATTTGCAGGTTTGTTATATAAGTATAGATTATTTTGTGACCCGGGTAATCAGCTTAGTACCCAATAGGTAGTTTTTCAATTTCTCCCCTCATCCCACCCAGATAAACAATCTTTAACAAGCTCTGGAGAAGCTTCTTAAAAAACAAACTCTTGGACCCCATTTCCAGAGATTTTGATTCCGTAGTCTGGGATAGGATGGAGGTCCTGCATTTCTAACAAGCTCCTGGGTGATGGGTGTAGCTGGTCTGACCCACCTCTGTATCATTTCCTGCCTACGCCCTCAGCCCAGGAGCAGCATGTGGCTGACTTTGCTAGGTCTTTCCTAGAGTCCAGAGCTCAAAGATTGTTCCCCAACAGCCACCTTGATCAATCCCCAGCCCAGCTCCCCAGGCTCTAGAACCTTCCTGACTTATACCCTAAAAGCAGAGTCCAGACCACCCCTCTTGTACCAGTCCAGGGCTTTCAAGGATTTGGATGGATTCTGTCGCAAGCCTAACTTAACCCCACCCCCCAAACTCCATATCTTCATGACCTACCAGTTCTTAAATGAGAAACCACAGAACTGTACAAAGCAACAAGAATGTACAAAGCTTGCCTTCCATATCGTATTACTTTCTTGAAAAATACCCTCCTTCTCTTTCTCCTGGCTTTGGGGGCCACACAGCACTTAGTAACCCACCAGCGCTCATGGCTTGCTCTATCCCCTTGGATTTAAATTGCTGCCACGGCCAGATTGTCTCGGTGAGGCCTGCAGGTGCCCTATTTAAGGAAGAAAGTGCACCGGCTCTTCTTCGGCTGAGCAAGGCACCCTTTTGTGTGCCTTTCTTGGGAGAGCACAGAGATTCGTGGTGGTCCTCTTGACCTGATTCCAGTTTCTCTAGTGAGATTTCAGCACTAGGCATTTTTCCTAATTTTCCTTCCCAGGAAGACTCCTGACTCTGTCCACCCTGTATCTGCCTCTTTGCCTTTGAGCTGTTTATTTGGTTCTTCCAACCTCTGTGCCGTCAAGGTATCCATCTCCTTACATTCCCCTTTTAGGCTGACTCTTTATTTTGTTTCCATGTTAGCTCAAGTCCATTACACTAAATACTGTACACATTATTGTCCCCTAAACAAATTTGCTCAATCAGTCTTAGCGAGCAGGGTCAGGACCCAATGAGCTGGAAGCCCAGCCCTTGAATTGGCTCTCAACCAAAACAACCCAACAGCCCTCTCCCTCTCAAAGCCACATTACTCTCAGAGGGATGGAGTTTTCCATCAGTGAAGAAGGTATTAATTAAAGTAAATGAAAATGCCCTCATTTGTTGTAATGGATTTAGCTCTTGCAGACCATTTTCTACGGGGTCACCTGCCTGGATGATGTGCTGAAAAGAACCAAAGGGGGAAAAGACATTAAGTTCCTAACTGCCTTCAGAGACCTGCTTTTCACCACTCTGGCTTTTCCTGTATCCACGGTAAGTTTCAAAGATGTGTACATAATCTAACAGAAATGTGCATATGGACAGACGCTTCTCCTGGGCAGCCAAGCTGTTTGGGAGCCCATAATTGGAAACCACACCCACTGCATTTACAACAATGTCCTGTCTGAGGACTGCGCCACATTGCCCAGTGTCTTTAGGAAATATGGCACATTAGTGATCAGCTTTATCACTAGCTTTTGTACCTCTGCAAAGGCTTGGTACAAGGTCCTTATTGCCGTCTAATGGGGAAGTTTGAAAGACCTTTCTTAATCAAAATACAACTGAGACAACCTTGGTTCCATCAGGGTGATGGGAATGGAGAGCCCTGGGGAGGGAGATGACGAATTTTCCCCTTTTATACATCTTGTTTCACTTGCTACGATAAGTATATGTTACTTCTGCAAGTGGAAAACCATCAAATAATTTTTTTTTTGAAAAGAGATATGAGACCTTCAAAGGTGGCACATGGAAAAGACAACCGAGGAGAGAAAGACAGCCTGGTGTGGGGTACACAGTGGGTGCCTCATTCATGTTGCTGAGTGGATGGATGTCAGGAAGAAGTGAGACATATGGCAGGGACAGTAAGCTGGTATGCTGATGCCATCCACATTTCTATGACATTGTTCATGTTTTCCATTCGTTAGCTAGAATGGAAATAAACAGAGATCAGGCATGCTGGCTGCCCAGCAGGGCCTATAATTAGAAATGACTACCTTCTTCTACCTGTCATTGTCCTGCTTCCTATAGTACAGAACTTAATTTAAATGCAAAATGCAACTCTCCAAGCCCTAGTGAGTTCTCTGATAACAAAGCAAGGATACCTATTACTTTGCAGGATACCTCTACCTCTGCCCACGTAAAATCTTCTAATGACCAAGCTTTTTGGTTTTGGGGGGTAGGGGAGGGGTTTGAGATAAAGTCTCACTCTGTTGCCCAGACTGGGGTGCAGTGGTGTGATCTCGATTCACTGCAGCCTCAACCTCCCAGGCTCAAGTGATCCTCCTGTCTCACCTGGCTACTTTTTTGTATTTTTGGTAGAGACATGGTTTTGCCATGTCGCCCAGGCTGATCTCGAACTCCTGAACTCAAGTGATCTGCCTGCCTTGGCCTCCCAAAGTGCTAGGATTACAGGCATGAGCCACCAAGTCTGGCTATAGCCAAGTTTTTAAAATCAACAGTGAAGTCTGTTTATTTTTTGAGGCTTAGAAATGGAGTGTGTGAAATGTCAGAAGATAGGAAGATCAGAAGTTTAATAGTTTTTAACTTCCTTATCTATGCGTTGACTTCGTAGCATAGAGGATAGATGCTTTGACAAGAGAGGCAAGGAGTACAAGAGGAGATCAATTCAAAGTTCTGAGCACCAGGGAGATCCAGCCCTCAGTCAGCTAGCTTGTGCATTTTCCAGGGAGATTGGCACTTATGGTTCTCAGGCTTCCTGCTTCCCCTAGCCATGCCTATTTAGAGGGTGGACAAGGAACGTGTATGACTCAAGCTACTCCATGTGCCTACTCTCAGCATTCCTGGTGAAAGTTTAGAAAAAGAAGTTATTGGTTAAAATAAATGACTAATGGTCTGGGAATCCTGTTTATTCATATCTTCTCTGCCTGCCACGATGACAAATAATTGATCTCTAACTCTCTGGCACATTGAGGAATCCCCAGAAAGAGCAGATATAGCAATGAAATAAAGGGAAGAATGCTTATTGTAGAATTACTGTAATGTATATGTACTACATTCCTATAATGTATATGTAAGATATCTTTAAAATGGTTGTCTGTTTTTATTTAGCTGTGTTTCCTTGATTATCTTAGAAAGCTCTGATTAAAAACAAGCCTAATGATGCTATTTTTTGTGTTTTATTTTCCAGTTTGTATTTTTGGCATTCTGGATCCTCTTTCTCTACAATCGAGATCTCATTTACCCCAAGGTCCTAGATACTGTCATCCCCGTGTGGCTGAATCATGCAATGGTGAGTGAGGGGAAAATTCAGTGAACTCAGAACACCAATAGCCTCTGTACTGAAAACTCCACAGTGCCTTATCTATGTTTCCAAATGTCTCAATTCCCAGCATCCAATCTACCTCATCACTGTTTATTTAAAGGGCATATTGAAGGTATGAAATGAACACAAGCCAGTGCTATAATTACAGTGAGTCTACTGAGAACACAGGAGATGTCCAGGTGAGAGTCTGCCATGTTGCTTAGGAAGTCTTTGAAAAGACACACAGTTCTGAGAGGACAGGCCTGAAAGAGAAGTGACTTCTGCAAATATGTCATAAACTTCCGATGTGTGGATGGAATGAAGTAAGCTTTAAAAAAAAAGCCCACCCCAACATCCAAAGAATATCTCATAGCTGAGCAGCAGCTACTTAAGTAACACACTTTGTCACGATTCTGCATCACAAATGGGATTAACATTTACATATTTCTAGGAATACATTTCCATTTGGTTTTTTATTCAGGCTTGTGTTTTGGAGAGGCCGAATAGTAAACAGAGGCTGTTCTGAGATTTTTAGGTCACTGGAACCTGAATATCAGTAACAGGGACCCAAACAAGCAAGGCTGGCATGAGGTTGCCAGGTCTCGGTTGGAGGAGGATAACTGAATCATCGGCACAATGTGAACAAAGTAATTGTTCAAATACCTAACTCAGCTTCTCAATACTTACAAATGTATCTCCACATCAACCAGGAGATTATAAAAAGGTCTCAGATTCTGTGAAGGTAATGACATTTAAATACCCAGGGGATAGCCGGGTGTGGTGGCACGCTCCTGTAATCCCAGCTACACAGGAGGCTGAGGCAGGAGAATCGCTTGAACCTGGGAGGCGGAGGTTGCAGTGAGCCAAGATCGCACCATTGCACTTCAGCCTGGGCAACAAGAGTGAAACTCTGCCTCAAAAAAAAAAAAAAAAAAAAACAAACCAGGGGAAAGGCACAAGGAAGTGGCATGTCAAGACTCCTCAAAAGTTCACTCACAGACTTTCTTCCACCCTCACTCTTGCCCATCTTTCCATGGTCTTAAAACTCACAAGATGACCAACTCAGAAAAGCAACTCAGTCCACTAACACTGCCCCTGCCACAAGCCCCAGTCTCCAGAAAAAAACTAATTTCAGCTTAAATTTTGTGCTCAGTCAGTTATTGATGATTGACTGACTAATAGACCACAGCTCTGAACTCTTTTGGAGTTCAGGACCAGAACTACCTTACGTAAGTCTGACCTCTCAGGAACCCTCCTCCTCTCAACTTTTTCTTGTCAAACTCTTCACCTTCCCAGTTTCCCATGAATGTTAATCTGAGACACTGATGTAGTGAATATTCCTGCTTTTTTTTTTTTTTTTTTTTTTTAAGAAATGGTACTTTATATTGTCCAAAGCATGTTTTTCAGGTATGGGCTCATTTAATTCACACAGCCTTCTTTAGAGAACTACTATAATCCTGATTTTTACAAATGAAAAAATAAGATAAAATAAAAGCTCAGAGAGGATAAGTGATGTGCCTGAGGCCACTGAACTCATAGGAGGCACAGCTAGGATGGAAATCCGAGGCTAATGCACCCTTCGTTGCCTTTTGCTGCAGTAAGTCCAGAACTTGTGATTCGATCTGGTTTTGTTTCCTAATTCACCAGGCAATCAAAAGGACCTCGCTTTGCTTGATCAATACAGCAAAGTGTGAATTCTTACTTAAAAAAAAAAAAAGAATCCTCATCTGTATGCTACTAAACCAAAATTCTAAGAAAATGAAGAGATTTGAAACTACTGGCTGAGCTAGCTGTTACTAAAATAATAACAAAGCAGAGTCTTATAAGTATCTTTTATGTGGTGCCAAATGCACCTAGCAAACATCTTCTCAAGGTTTGTGTGCTCATCTTGTAGCTTTTTTCACAATGACTACCATCTCCCCCCCACTTCAGGGTTGATGTAAAGTTGGATTTCTTTCAAATAGTTATGATGATGGTGTCCAATATTTGTGACCTTGCTAAATAAACAGCCATATGGATTTGTGATAATTTTGGAAGCAGAGAGCTGGATAACATACATCACATCCGTGAGCTAATTAGCAAGGCAGATACTGTGCAACGGAGATGCTTAAATATTTTTGTGCCTCACAAGCTGAGGGGTGCTGTGGACCTTGCCCCTTGCCCTTTGGTCATTCAAGTAACCTGAATCCCTCAGAGAAAAGGAGCAAGGGTCAAAGGAAGTGGAACAATGGTGACAAGGAGAGAAGAGGAGGAGGAAGCTACCCCAGGTCATATACAGATGTTTCTGTGTTTCTCTTAGTTTGATTGAAGAAACTCTCAACAGATCCATCTTAGGAAAAATGTTGGTATCAGCAAAATTGGCCTCAGGTGTCCCTAACACAGTCATTCCCAAACTTCCTGCCTTCTTTTGGTGTCTGCTCCAAATTAAGTGTCCTAATAAGTATATCTCATCTCTGTCTTCTAGACTGTGTTCCTTGTTCTGGACATTTTCTGTCCTCACTATTAAATGTTCTTGGCCTATTGCCTCAAGGAATGTTCTCTGCCAAGTTCTTAAATACTAGTGTGAACTCATGGTAGAAATGGCTGCTACTGTGTCAGTTTGTTAACATTTCCCACATTTTGCCAGTGCCTGTCCATGACAGTCCAAAGGAAGGAATACAATTCTGGGAAATCACCACTATGGCAGCCAGAGTAATGACGGGCAGTCCGGCTGGGCATTTGGTACTAGGTGCCTCTGCATGGGGCTGGCCCTGTCCCCTGTACAGCTCCTTTTTCCTTTCCACAGTAGAAGAACAATTGCCTTCCATCGCCAGTGCCATGCTGTCCTGAAAGCTTCTTTCATTTCTCAACACTCCCTGTGTTTGCTATTTTAGCCTTAGCTTTGGAATATTTTCCCCATTGCCATTTATGATGCTGCCCCAGTTGTTATGAGTAGTATCTGTCAAAGTAAGAAATACCACTCTCCCCTTGGACACAGTGTGGTTGTAGGACCTTCATGATTAATCAAGTCTTTGGACTGCTCCCAGCTCAACCCTTGCAGCTCATTGGAAACTTGTCATTGCAGCAGGACTGTTCTAAGCACATTGTGTCTCTAACAGACATTTTCCTGCCTTTGTTGTGTATTCAGACTAAATAGAAACATCAGTGAGATATTTGCATCCACCGTGGACAGGGCACCTTAATTAAAGTAGATCAATCTGACTGTTTTAGTGCTAAGCAGTTCTCCAGTCTTCATAAAACAAGGGAAAGAACAGCAAAGTAGCCCTTCAGGTTTTGCCAGGAAAACATTAACTCCTCAGGTCTTATCTAAATGCCTACTAAAGATAGAATCAGAGCAGACAGATTTAAATAGCAGTAAGAGGACTCTCAGTAACTGAGAAAATTATCAGATCCTAACCCGAGGGGAGCTGGGGGACTTATTTCTCTGGAAATCAACCTAAATTGTTCAGGTCGCCCCAAAGGAGAGGTGAAATAGATCAGAGAACTCCTCAGAGCCCCTTCTATCTTTGAAAATAGTACATGATTATTGAGAACGTGTGTGCAAACTTCAACAGCTGTCAAGGACTGCATGAATGTAAGGTATTCTCATGTAAAACTTAAGAATTCCCAGCCAAGATCCACTAGCTTATTCTCAATCCATGATCACAGAGTCTTAGAACTGAAAAAGTTTCATTGATGTTAAGGGGGGTTTCAAAACAATCTGCTATTGAGAGACAGGACCTTCCCTGGCTCTTTAAATTGGAGAAAGTCCCAGATACAGCCACCTAGTTATTTAATATGTTGTCATTTATTCACTTGAAAAAGAGCAGTTAAGTACCACTATGCGTGTGACACTATGATTGATATTTATTGAGGGTTTTGACATCTAGCAATCTTAAATCTGGTTGAGTCTAATGTACACACACGAAGTTGAAATAGTGAGTGAATGCTTACACAAGGCAGTGGCATACTGGTGTTAGGCGGAGGGACATGGTTATTGCTGAAGGAAGAACATGGACAGGAGGGGTTCTGTGCCCTACCTGTCCTGGCCTGACTGTAACTCATGAGCAAGGCATGGCTAGTTGGCCTGGATGGCCTTTGAGCCGTCTCCCAGGGATGTGCTGGGAAGTCAAAATGCCCAGGGAGTAAAACTTAAAATCTTCTAGTTTCTCCCTCAGTCATAGCATGCAAGATGATATCATTAGCATTCTGACCCAATCACAGATTTTTCTCTGCCACCCATAAGCTTGGTGTGAAATTGTTGGGCTGCTAAGTGGGGGTGAGTAAGGTCAGCCACTCTTCATCCCAAGCATTGCAAACTCCTCCCACCCTTCCTGATTCCTCACCCTCAATTCAGCCCCAGCCCTGGGCATAGGTCACCCACAGTCTACATACCTTGGTACAACTCAGTGGTTTTCAACCTTGAGGGAAGAGGCTCCTCTGTGAACCTGAAAATATCTATAGACTGTTTTTCCAGGAAAATACAAATACCCATAAAATTTTGTGTACAATTTTAGGAGGCTCATGAGCCCTCCAAATTCCATTTATGGGCCTCTTACCTAGAACACCTGACATAACTGAACATACACTTGAAAAGAAGGTCCCCAGATGATTTCCATTGCTGAGTTCAAATCAAAAAGACAAAATGAAGAATCACTCATTTGAAAATCACTCATATGTGCTTTGGGCTATTGTGTCCTTATGTGGGTGACAGGAAAAACATCAAATATGGTCCCTAATCTTAAGAAATTTAAAAGAGATATTATATACCTAATCTAATATGCAATATAGCTAAGATGTATAATAATAAGCAAGACATTTGATTTTAACATAAGGAAGTGCTAAAAAGTATTTATCAGATGCCTGCTATGTACAAGGCCCTATTCTAAGAGCTGAAAATGCAGCAATGAACAAGACCATCGAAAAGATCTGTCCTTGTGGACTATACACACATCCCAGTGGGGAAGATAAGCAGTAAACACACAATAAATAGGGCGAGAGAACGGAGTGGTGTGTGGGTGGGTGTGTTTGTGTAAAAAAGGCAGGTTTAATAGCGTACAGGGAAATTATGGTGGCCAAGGGATGCCTCTATGATGAGCTGATATTTTAATAAAAATTTGGATAGGGTGAAGGAAACAGCCACAGGACATTCTGGCAGAAGAAAGGCTCAGGCAGCAGAACAGTGACTTTAAAAAGCCTCCAAGGAAATACTGGCATCTCTAAAAAACAAGAAGACCAGCATGGCTGGTTCAGATTGAGGAGGGAGGAGATAAGAGGGTGTAGCCAGGGTTCAGATTATGCCTCATGTGACTTGCAAGGAGTTTGCATTTTATTCTGAGTATGATAGAAAGTCACCTCTTCAGGGACACCTTCTTTGTCCCTCCCTACCATACATGTATATACTTAATAATCCATATGGCAAAAAGAAAGAGAAAATATTTTTAGCCTAAGCCACAGGGAAGGAGTATGGATACAGAGGCTTGGGAGGTGCAAGGATTGTGAATAAGGAAATCAATTGTTCCATTTAGGCACGTGAGTTTTAGATGCCTATTAGATAATGATGTCAAGACGTGGAACAGGCAGCTGGACATACTGCTTGCTGTAGCTTGGACACATGTAGGGTAGCTTTCTGGGATGGTGACATACATCTGATTATCTTCATTATGCAGATTGTTTTTAAAGTTAAATTTAATAAAATCACCTAGGGGGTAGTTATGGTTAGATAAGATATTCCAGGAGACTAAGTCTTGGAATACTCCAGCCTTCAGTGTTTGGGAGGAAGGGGAGGGAGATTCAACAAAGGAGATCGTGAAGGAGGTGCCAGTGAGCTAGGAGGAAACCCAGTGCAGTGTCGTCTCTTGGAGCTCAGTGTAAAAATGTTTCAAGAAGGAGGAAGTATTTTATGTCCAAAGCTGCTGAGAGGTGAATATGATGACCTTGTAAGAGGACTCGAGTCAGACCTTTCCACTGGACTTGGCAATTTCGTACTCGCTGGTGACCTGTTCAAGGGCAGTTTTGAGAGTGTGTGGGGGGAGGATAGAGCCTTGGTTATGCTCTGTCCTTGTGGACTATACACACATCCCAGTGGGGAAGATAAGCAGTAAACACACAATAAATAAACAAGGTGAGAGAACAGAGTAGTGTGCTTGTTGCTATTACAAATTAATGCAAATTTCGTAACTGAACACAGTACAAATGTGTTATCTTAACGTTTGGAGGTCAGAAGTTCAAAATGGATTGTATGGGAGGAAATCCATGTACCAGCAGAGTGGCATTCGTTCTGGAGTCTGTGGAGGAGACTCTGTTTCCTTACTTCTTCCAGGCAGACCACTTACCTTCCTTGGCTCATAGCCCTTTCCTCCTCCTCCTTCAAAGCACACCACTGCAGCCTCTGCTTCCACCATCTTCACATCACCTTTTGTTCTGCCTCTGCCATTCCCACCTCCCTCTTATAAGGACCCCTGGGATTACAATGGACCCATCCAGATGACTCAAGATAGCCTCTTACTCTTAAAATCCTTAATTTAATTACATCTTCAATGTCTCCTTTGTCATGCAAGGTAACATATCAACATATTCACGGGTTCCAGGGATTAGGACATAGACATCTTTGGGGACCATTATTCAGCCTCCTATGCTATAAGATAACACCACTGAATGCAAACCTAGGTCTCTGCATTGTAACCCTTTTCACCCCAGTTTTGAAAAGGCTGTCTTACACTACATATAGCAAAACTCATGTAATAATGACCTCTATTCTAAGTATTTTCTTTTTTAAAAAAAAAAGTTTTGCAGTTACCTATCAATAGAAAAAGTAAGGCACTACATATATAATTTGATAGAGATTGTATGATACAGATGCAAAGTGTGGTAAAAGTAGAAAAGGTAAAGCTCAGAATGGCTGGTCAGAGAAGGAGGTATCAGATCTCAAAGGATATTGATAAGTAGTGATCAGTAGGATATTGATAAAGGTGACAGCACATTCCCAAATATTGACAGTGTCAAATTCAGGTTTTTCCAAAAGGTTCTTCTACTCCTCCTCTTCCCTTCCACTTCCCCTCTCTGCCCCTGTTCCCTCAAAGAGAATTGCTGGCTAAACGTCAGTCTTCCAAGGGGCCCAACAAAAGACATTGCTTGGCATCTCGCTAGTGAACAGTAGGCCTCCCTTTGCAAATGTCACTTGATATGAGTCACTACGCCAGCCCCATCTCACTCCCTGCCAGGTGAGCAGGATTGCCCTTCCTCCATACTGCCTAAAGGAATATTGGCCTCAATCATATTCTCTGCAACACGGGCCTGGAACATGAGCAGGGCAAGTTGATCAGAAGAAGAGAAGCAAGAGAGTAAAGGCTTTATTTACTCCAAGACATGGGACAGCATGCTTTCTGAACTATCACAGAGCAGACCAATGGATTGTGACCAGATGTTCCTTTTTGCAGCCAGAATCAATGCCCCACCTTGCCCCACTTTCTCAATGTACCAACACCACCCTGAAGTGCTTCATGTAGGGTATTAAAAAGCCACTTTCTTTCTTTATTATTATTTATTTATTTATTTTATTATTATTATACTTTAAGTTTTAGGGTACATGTGCACAACGTGCAGGTTAGTTACATATGTATACATGTGCCATGTTGGTGTGCTGCACCCATTAACTCGTCATTTAGCATTAGGTATACCTCCTAATGCTATCCGTCCCCCCCCCCCACCCCACAACAGTCCCCGGTGTGTGATGTTCCCCTTCCTGTGTCCATGTGTTCTCATTGTTCAATTCCCACCTATGAATGAGAACATGCGGTGTTTGGTTTTTTGTCCTTGCGATAGTTTGCTGAGAATGAAAAAAAAGCCACTTTCTTTAGAGACCATGGAGAAAACCTGGAGGCTGTGTTTCACGTAGCTACACATACGGGGATTCTCGTTTTAAAGAGTGATGCTGCATGACTCTGCTTCCACTGCCAAAGCATTAACCCAACAACCAATATTCATTAAAATCTCATCATGTGCTGGGCACAGAGTGGGCACCATTTGGCCTAGCAGGGGATAAAAGACAATATTCCCATCATGAAAATATAAAAAGTCAAAGAACAAGCCACAAGATGCTGTCAAAGAGTGCA
The DNA here is from genome assembly GCF_000001405.40 of Homo sapiens. Classification (NCBI taxonomy): domain Eukaryota; kingdom Metazoa; phylum Chordata; class Mammalia; order Primates; family Hominidae; genus Homo; species Homo sapiens. Next base: position 11,758,168 of record NC_000006.12, on the reverse strand, counting down.
GAATAAGGTCCAATGAATGCCATGAGCATACTTCTAAAGGGAAGGTCACTTCCCACTGCACAGATTAGAACAGATGATGAATGAGTTGGAGATTTGAGCTGCAGTTCAAAGGTTGGATAGAAAAGACAGCAAGTGATGTCCAAGTATGAGGAATATTGAGCCGAAGGAGAGAAATGTCTGAGCCCAAGGCAGGCTCAGGGCACCATGAGTAAGTAGATCAGTGTATTTGTTTCCTAGGCTGCCATAATAAAGCACCACAACTGGTGCTTTATTAACAGAAATGTATTCTCACACAGTTCTGGAGGCTAAGTGTCCGAAACCAAGGTGCTGGCAGAGCCATACTCTCTCAGAAGGCTCCAGATGAGAATCTACTCCATGCCTTCTTCAGCTTCTGGTGTTGCCAGCAGTCCTTGGCTTGTAGACACATCACTGCTGTCTCTGCCCTGTCATCACATGACATTTCCCCTGTTTGTGTGTCTGTCTTTACCTCTTCCTCCTTGCAGATATGTGCCTCTGTGCCTCTTCTCCTTTTTTATAAGGATACCAACCAGATTGGTTTAAGGTCCCCTACTCCAGTATGACCTCATCTTAATTAATTACATTTGCATTTGTTTCCAAATGAGGTAACATTCTGAGATTCCAGGAATGACATGAATTTTGAGGACACTATTTAACCTAGTACAGTTAGTTTGGCAAGAGCAAAGGTATCAAAGAGGGGAAAAGATATCAAAGAGGAGAAACAGACGTGGGGTCAGATATTGAAGGGCATGAATGCTAAGGATTTTGTTTCTATTCTGTAGGCAAAGGAGATTGATAGAAGGTTTTGAACTTGGAATAGTCTCTACCTTCAAGTGCTCATAATTAGAGAGTAAAAGATTGGGGGGATTTAAGAGATGTTGCCATCATATAGGGTGGGTTAGCGTTGGAATCACTTCCATGACTTACTAAAAAAAATCAAAAATCAAAAGCTCTCCCTGAATTTCAGACTCTACATTTCTTTTGTAGGGAAACACTGGAAATATACTGTATATTATTTTTCCTTTATTCTGATTTCCAGGCAAAAGAAGAAGAGAGTAAAAATATATTTCTGATACACACTTAAAATGCCCATTTTGGTTCTGTTAATACAACATTCATTATCTTTGTAAATTGCTTGTAATCTGTGTTGGTTGTGATCTGAGTCAGTGTTAGTTGCTATCAAATAGTGAGCCCTAATTCATCTTCCCTTGTGTTGCTTCCTGGAGACATAAATGTCAACCTAGAATCATAGAGCTGAAATGCCTCAATCTCTACAAACCGCTCACCTTGCAGAAGAGGAAACTGAGGTTTGAGTAGTTTATTCAACTTTCCCAAGACCACAGAACTGATTAGTGATAGAGCTGGGTCTAGAATATGATCCAAAGTCATAAACCTGTGTTTTCTCTAATATTCATGTGCTTAATACATCCCTTACTCAAGGCAAGCCCAGTCCCATAGTCAGAAAAAAAAATAAATTTCTTCCTCCATAATCTTTGTATAAACACATAGCCAGCATCTACTATCTGCATAGTTTTCCTTTACTCTATTCCTTAACTCACTGTTAATTAAACTTTTTTTTGAGATAATTGTAGATTTACATGTAAGTGTAAGAAATCATAGAGGTCTTGTGTACTCTTTGCCCAGTTTCCCCCAATGGTAACATCTCAATGCATTTTTTAAATGACACTTTTCCAAGGTAGGGCGTATGAAATGTCTTTAAAATCACAATCTCAAAAGCAACTGTTTCACATCAAGTCACCAAACTGTGATTCCCCATCCCTTGTACCATTAAATTATTATTATTATTATTATTATTTGAGACACAGTCTCGCTTTGTCACCTAGGCTGGAGTGCAGTGGCATGATCTCCACTCACTGCAGCCTCAGCCTCCCAAGTAGCCGGACTTACAGGCACATGGGCACATGCAACGCCTGGCTAATTTTTTGTGTTTGCTAGAGATGGGGTTTCACCATGTTGAATTCCTGAGCTCAAGCGACCCACCTGCCTCAGCCTAACAAAGTGTTGGGATTACAGATGTGAGCCACTAGGTCCAACCCCCTTGTACCATTACATTCTAAAATCTGCTCTTGCCATATTCTAGACCAGGTCTACATGAGAAAGAGAAAACATGACTGGCAACAATGACCAGCAAATAGTATTGGGAAATAACTTCTCATGTGAGTCTAGGGAGAATAGAGATACATAAACTAAGCCAATGTATGAATGTCTCCATGGCATCCCAAGGGGAAGGCCCTTGTTCAGAGCATTGCCAAACATGTACCAAAGCTCCCGAGCAGAAATAAAGTGGAATCATTCACCACACCCAGATATTTACTTGGATATCATTTCAGGTTTTAGCATTACAGTGTTGTTGATGGGTGGTTCCTTGTTTTGAAACAACTTTCTAGCCACCCTTTTTTAAAAAATTCATTCCACTAACTTCCTAACCTAGAGTAGGTCAGAATCTTTTCCGTCATTTACCTGGGAAACACTGAGACACTGAGTGCCTTAAATGCCACAGTGAAATCAGAAGCTAAACTGGGATGAGGAAGCAGAGTTACCTGAATAATCACAATAAAGCCATTTTGCCTCTCAAGAAATCTTAAGCTAAACAGAGGAAAGTCTAATAGTGAACACGTCCAGAGGACGACCAGTCCACTGGTGGTTTTCCATAGCTAGGACCAGGCACTCACTGTGTTTGCTTTCTTCATCTCTGGAGAGCAGGGACCAGGATGATGAAAGCATGCCTTTTCTTTTTTTCCTCCTTTTAATCCCAATTCAAAGAACTTCCAATGTATGCTCAAGAGTAGCATATTTTTAAAATTCCATTATTCAGTGATTTCCTATTATCAACAGGCTGCTTTTTAAACAGAAGAAAACCAGTAAAAAAAAAAATTCTAATTTCTCAATCAAGGTCAAAGGTTTTTAGTGATCAAAAAAGTATAGATGTCTTCTGAGAAGTTACTAGGAATTTTAGTAATTAAAATTATTCAGTGACCTTGAGGGCTTGCTGGTGAGTCCCTCTCCTGTGTGAATCAACCAGTGCTCACATCCTTGGCAACCATGTGTAACACCCCAACGGGAAGAATGACTTGATGCTGGAGAATAACCAGGCTGGAGAAACTCATAACAGAAGATCCTAAATCTCTCTGAAATACTAAGAGCAAAAACTAAAAATCTAAGTGGAAGGAAAGAGCCAAACTCCCATGATCTCAAGACAGACGTGAAAAATCCCCGAGAGCAGCCTGCTGGGCGGATGAGAGCGCCTTCTCTGCCAGGTTAGTACTGACACTCCTCTTCCTAATTAAATAGCCAGCACAGAAAAGGCCCTGCCATGCTTCTGGTTGCTTAATAACCCCAGAGGCAGACACGCTGTAGGCTGTGGAGTTCCGTCCTTGCCTTGAATAGGGAGCTTCTGACAGGTTCTCAACCAGCCCCCACACCTTGTTCCTGGTCTCATCATCTTCTCTGCCTACTAAGAAGCCACTTATGCCTAATTGGAAATTTGAATTTGTCCAATTCCTCTGTCTTCCTCCCACCTCCAGGTCCTTGGATTACCAGCCAGTGGAATAATTCTGCAGAGCATTTCCTGGTAGTCCTCTTGATAGTGTAATTACACTTGCCCATGTATTACACGTCCGTCACGTGGATCCTTAGCTCTTAGATATTTCTCATCTTGAGTTTCTGAATTTTCAGCTCTGCCCTTTATCTTCCTCTCCCAATCCAAGATCCAAGTCCATTTATATAGAGAAGGTCCTTGTTTTGCCATCTCCCTCCTCAGTCTCTTCAACTCTTTCAACCTATCGTTGGCCTACCTACCTTAGCTTCATCCCCTTTCTGTCACTCTCATGCATTTGCTGGATTTATCATTTCCTCTAAAACTTTACAATGGGGTAAAACTAAAGAGGGGTGCAGAAATGAGGACAAGAAAGAGCTCTGTCTCTAGGAAGCTCATGCATGTTAAGCCATGTGAGAGACAGGGGGACCCGCCAGTATCTACTGAAGTGTGAGTAAAAGGTCTGCTCAAATTTGGGATTCTGTTGATTCTCACTCAGATCACTGATCTTAGGGATTCTACGTTGAGTGCAGAGTGTACTTGCAAACTTTTAACGGGGGCTGACAATTAAAATGGCCCCAGATGCCATTTGAGAGCACCTCGATTAACACAAAAATCTCTGGGTGTGTTGGTGCATCCTCCCTCTATCTGCTCAGAGAACCAGCAATGTAATTATGTTGGCATTGAAACAGAATTCAGCCCTGATGATAACAGGCCTACTGATCAGGAGCAGTAGGATGTGGCCATTGCTTGCAAATGCTGGTTTTGCTATCATCTTAGGACATGTGACTCTAAGAGATGATAATAAGATGAGATTTCCTTTTTTACCCATTTCATGCTTGACAATGAATATTATTTTGTAGCAGTGATTGGCAGAAATAGTAAAATACTTAACCTATCTAACAGTATTTAATAAAGGTCTTTTGTCTCCAATTGGCACAGGGAGTTTAGTTTAAGGCTTATATATGGGAACATTTTAATTAATATGCATACTCTTTCTGACATATTTTAAAATAATACTTCACTAACCTAATGTCAGAGTCAGAAGCTTAAAATATCATCAGGATCACAGAAATTGTAAGTGTGGCAAAAAAAGGCACTTCAGAAATATTTGTTGAATATTTGACAACTGAAAGATTGAGTTGCCTGTCCAATGAGAATGACCCTTAGATTTAGTGGCTTCTTTTTTTTCAGATGGTGACGTTTAGAGCACAATGCATATAACCTAATCATCTTCAGGTACAGGTCATCAGGAAATGGACCATCTGGTAACTCAAATCTATTCACAAATGCCCCTTCACATTTTTAAAATGTCTACTTGGGCTAAAAAGTTGAAAGGGATAAGCTACTAGAAATAAAGGTGTTAGAGCTTGATCCCTAAAAGTCAGATTGGTGTGAGGAGGAGCAAAATTTCTTAGCTCTATGTCCAAGTTGTAAAAATAATTGACAAGTTTGTTTTCTAGTTCATGAAAAGAATTAAGTACCAGAAAACCTCAACTCTGATTCCATTTCTGCCATTGCCTTGCTGTGTGCTTTCAGAAAAATTAATAAACCTCTCTTGATATTGGGTTCCTTTAAACAGGCAAAGTATGTTTACCATCCTTAATTCTCCGCATTGTTATCAGAAACAAATATATTACATGTGCAATATAAAGTGCTATCAGTGATACATTAACGACCCATGCAAATCGTTATTGACTTGGAATCACCATCGCCTCTTCTCCATTCTCCTCTGCGTTGCAGGGGATAAACCCGGAGCCACCCACTGTTGCTAGAATCCCTTTCTCCATATGGTTCCAGGCAACAGTCAGCCAATGAGAGGCATTCTCATGAGGTGTGGAGGAAGAGAATCCATTATTCCCTAGTGGGTAGTTTCAAATAGATGTGTGGGAAGATTGCAGACATGAGGTTAGCAGTGGCTTCTGGAAAAGCACCTAGGAATCACACACTTCATCCTGCGAGTAGCTGAGATCAATGATAGCAGTTCATGAAGACTTTTGACACTTGTAGCAGCTTCCTGGTGAGCTCCCATGAATCACCCCCATCTGGTTGAAATTTCCTTTATTTTTCACTGCCCTTCCCTTTTCAACAGCTTCCTAAGCCTTGAAACCCTTCCTCCTTGGAATCCCTGGATGGGCTTCTGTTTTCCCAAGTGAACCCTGTTGATCCATGACCTTAAAATTCATGGATCAACAGCTTGCTTCTGAATCATGCCAATGATCTTTAATGTGAGGAGAAAGTTATTCATTCAAAGGAAAAAAGTCCTGAGTGATTTCGTTTCTGGCCATATAGCGAAACCGTAACATGAAAAAAAAATATTTCATAAGACACCCAAAACATTGAATAAAAATATTTCTTAAAAATCTTTTTAAAATGCTTGGCTTACCAACAAGAAAGTAATGGAAATTCCCAAAACTAAAATAAAGCAGAATAAAAGGTACCAAGAAGAGTGAGGTAAAGGCAATATTTGAAGGGATAAACATTGATTATTTCCCAGAATGTATGCAAAAGTAATCCTCGGATTCAAGAAGTGCAAAATAAATTCCATACAGGACTAAGGCTGGACTGAAACCACTCTCATCTACCTACTGTGTGACACGACAGAAACCTTAGACAGAAAAGAAGACCCAAAAATTAACCAGATTAATAGGATGGATTTCCTAAAAAGAAACCATGGCTAGATCGATAGCTGATTTCTTCATAGCAATAGCAAAGCCAGGGATGGAATAATAGCTCCAAAGTGTTGAAGGAAAAAACTGTCAACGTATTTACTCACTGAAAGTGTCTTTTACAATAGAGGCAAAATAAAGACATTTTCGGACACACTAGAGCAGATTTCCCCACCCACAAGTCTTCTCTGAAGGAGATGCTAAAGGGAATACTCTAGAAAGAAGAAATAGGATCTCAGAACGGAGGTTTGGATACTAAAAGCAATGGAAAAGAATTTGTCCAACATGTAGTGATTAAAAATACAAAAAATCCCCCAAAATGAGCTAAAATGCTGAGCAAAAATAGAGTGTAAACCGAGAGGGGGTGATTGGAATAGAGGTATTCTAAGGTCCTGTTGGAGTGTTGGGGGGTGAGGGGCTACAGATAGTGACCTATGTCAGCCATGACCAGGTTAAATAAGCACATTATAATTTCTAAAATAACCACTCTCATAATACACATGGAGGGTATGACCTCCATGTCAGTAGAAGAGGAAATACTGACTAGAAAAAAATATTAATGGGAATTTGAATCCATGGTAAGACACTATCCTGACATATAGGAATACATTGGAAGTGGTATGGGGTAGATTAGATTCATGTGGGAGACAACATAGTGAAAAGGCCTTTTGTGCAAGCTTATGTTCCTTCCCTGCTGGAAGCATCTCTACTTTTCTTAAAGGCACAGATTTCTACACTATGCAACTAATCACTAATTCCAGTTAATAATGTAGTCAGAGCCAGGAGCAGTGGTTCACGCCTGTAATCCCAACACTGGGAGGCTGAGCCGGGTGGATTGCTTGAGCCCAGAAGTTCGAGACCAGCCTGGGCAACATGGCGAAGCCCATCTCTACAAAAAATACAAAAATTAGCCAGGTGTGGTGATGCATGCCTGTAGTCTCAGCTACTTGAGAGCTTGAGGCAGGAGAATCGTTTGAGCCTGGGAGGCGGAGGTTGTAAAGAGCCAAGATTGTGCCGTTGCAATCCGGCCTGGGCGATTCAGCAAGGTTCTTATCTCAAAGTAAATAAATAAATAGATTAAATAACATAGATTGGGGAGGATCATGTGCAGGAGGTCAGAGTACATTTCAGAGGAAAATGCAAAGTTTCTAAAATACTCATTTTAAAGGGATAGGCATCAGCAAAGAAAGAGAACTAGTGATTAAAGAATTCATTTTGTTCATCCTTTTATTAGGGACAGGCTGCTATGTAATAATGCTAAATTGTGATTATAGATGAATTTGCTGGAGTGTTGTCCTTTCTGATCCTCTCCTGGAGGAGAGGCCCGTAGGGTTTCTGGCAATTAAGAAAAGGCTCTTGATCATAACGTGATTGCTTGAGGTGTTCAAATTGCCTGCCTTTCAGGCTAGGCAATGTAACAATTAAGGATGAGTTTGTATTTGTTTCCTGGTGCATGCTGTTTATTTAGTTTGCATATTATTAAAGTCTCAGGATTGGGTTTTAATGCACCCAGGATTGCCTGATTTACTTGGCTGTTAGTATCAGCATGGAAGTTATGCACACAAGCCTACAGAACTACCTGGGCCTCCTCAGGAGGGGAGAGGTGAAATCCAAGTCCTATTTGTTAATTGGGATTTTCCGCCATTCAGGGATTTAACCAGAAACCAAACTCTCAGGTCTGTCCCAGGCCTGCACTGGCTGCCTAATGTCCCAGGGTATAAATTCTTCCAACACAGTGGCTGTTTTTTAATTTTTCCCCAATTTCCCAACCTCTTTTATTCTTGTGAATCATATTGGGGCCTTTTGTCCCTTTGGCCTTACTGGAAGCAGAATGGCACCTGCTGCTTGAGCAATTTTCTGAGTCCTGTTCTCTGGCCTCCAGTCTTTGGAACTGACCGCTCTACAAGATGAAAGTAAAGATGTGGAAAGACAACCCTTCTTCCTACCACCCGAAGCAGAGGCAAACCTCAAGTCATAGCTTCATTTTCCTGAGCCCTGCACTGTTTCTTACAAAGATTTACAGAGGTGGGAGAAGGGTTGGCTAATTGGGAGTTCCTTTGGGGCAGATGTTGTCACTCAAGCACACAAGTGTGCTTCTTGGAATGGAACATAACCCGAGTGTTGCCCTCAGACCTGTACTTAGGATCTATTCTTATTCTGATCATTCATCATATTCTAGTCACCAATTATCTCCATGTTACCAAATTCTGGGCACCTGTTTTTGCCCCCATCTTCCTCACCTCTCAGCAGCACTGGGCACCTCTCTCTCCTTGAAACTCTGCTTCCTTAACCCTTTGATGCCACACTCCCTTGTTCTTCTCCTACCTCGGTTTCCGCTTGGATCCCCCACTTGCCCTCTAAAGGGTGATGTTCTTCCAGGCTTCCCATGGGACCTCTGCTTTGCTAATGCCCTTTCCCCAGTAACTGGCATCCATTCATTCCCATGGCTTTTGTTCTTTCCATGTGCTGAGTGTCTAGCTCAGATCTCCCTTGAGTTCCAGATTTGCATAGCTAGCTGCTACCTGACCTTGCTACTGTATATATCAGTAGGTATCTCTGAATCAACATGTACAGAGCTGAATATATTCTATTCTCACTGAATATATTGTATTATATTATAATATCTCACTGAATACATTATATTCTCATCTGTTCTGAGCATCTCCATCTCAGGAAATGGAACCATCATCCTCCCAATTGCCCAAGACAGAAACCAGCATTGACCCTGCCACCTCCCTCCACTCTATCCATTCCATTAGCTACTCTCATCCATTCTACCTCCAGAATAGGTAGCAAATCTGTTCACTTTCTAGTTCCACTGCCAACACCCTCGTGGCCACATTTATTTCTCACCTAAATACAACATCTCCAAACTGGTCCTCCAGCTTTCATTTTCAGGCCTCTACAGACCATGGCAAAATCGATTGCAAAATGTTATTTCCCTTTTTAGTACTCAGCAGTGGCTTCCCGCTTCACTTGGAATAAACCTGAACTCCTTCCTATGGCCAACAAAACCTGGTAAACCTGGGCCCTGCTTAATGCTGCAGACACAGATTGAGCTTCTCTCCCCCTGGCACTCCATGTTCCAGCCATTCCAGGCTTTACTGTGCCCTGCAGCTCTTGAAGTTCATTCTCCTACAGGACCTTCGTGCGTACTGCACCCTTGCCCAAGATGCTCCCCATCTGCTCTCCCATGGCTCAGCTGTAGCTTTTAGAACACATCTTGGACGTGGTCTTCTCAGAATGGCTTTTCCTGACTGCCTTCCATGAAGTACGTGCCTCCACTTGTGTTCTGGTACCTAGATTCCTGTTTGTTTTCCTTCATAGCACATATTGTGATTGGTATCTGTTTCCCTACTTGCTCACAGGAAATCTTGCCCATTGACTGTAAGGTCTGCAAGGCCAGGGACCACATCTGTCCACCTTCTGATCCTTAGCACCTCACACAATGCCTGGTATGTGGTAGGCACTTAATGATTATGGCATGAGAGAATGAATGAAGACTTCATCTCTTACTTCAGTAGTTTCTCTATGACCTTGACTGACCCCAGAGTTCTTCTTCCTTTGGGGTGGAGTGAGGTGTGCTGGGGCCAAGAAGCATTAGAGGCAGAGGGAAAGCCTTTAGCAACCCAAGTGTCAGCGTCTGTAGCTGACACTGTATATTTGGACACTTTGGAGTGTTCTTTTATACAGAAAGTTATAAATGAGGACACTGCTAGGAAGCTTACCAGTGCCTTGAAATATCTATAGGGCTTTTGGTTGTTATATCTGAGACACGTGGTCTAATCATGACTGACTTACGTTCAAAGAGATGCATAGAGTCATAATTACATATATTTTGCTTGAGGCGAATCAATGTCTGTTCTGATTGGTGCGGTAGCTAAAAGCATATACTCTCTGGCAGAAAGTTTTCTAGGCTGATACTTTCCTCTGTACATCCACCGTGGTCAGATGTTAATTAGGTAACTGTGTATTCATGTCTCCAAAGAATTAGTGAATCAAAGAAAAAAGGAGGCAGAGTCTGCAATTAAGCAGAGGAATAAGGACATGATCATGGCAGTAACCAGATGAAAGAGAGGCCATCAGGGGAAGAGGAGAAACAGTTGAAAAAAGAAACAGCCCCTTTCTGTCTCTGTGAAAGCCTGTGATAGGTCAGTTTCCCTCCTCATCACTATTGCTGGGCTGCTGCTGGCCCTGGGAGACATACCTGATGCTATCCAACCAGGGGTTCCTGTTGATGGGCAAAGAAGCTAGGAATGAGGTTCATTTGTTGTGCATATGAAAAGTAAATCCATGCCTGTGGAATTCCACAAATAGAAACAGAACAAGTGTTTTCATGGCTGCTATGGAATTTGGAGTTTTAACAGTCCAATAGCAATCAAGTTTCTTCTTATGTTGAGGGCAGAATAAAAAGAGAAGCCTCATAAAAACAGAGGAGATTTCAGCGTTTCTCTTCCTTTTATTAGAAACTAATTTACCCATGAAAATTCAGCTTGAAAGCTAAAGTGCCCTACACAAACAAACAAAACAAACCCTTGTGCTTTTTGTGTCTTCTGAATTTGGAAACCAAAAAGTGCACAATCATTTCAGAGGGGTATTCTGGAGAGCTCGCCTGGTACAAATTGGTTATGAATAAAAGCATGTGTGTGTCTTCAGCATCTCCCTCTGAACACAACTAGGAACTCCTAAAAGCCACATTGTATTATTCTGTGGTGAGAAGGAATTTTGTGACCTTTGGAGAAATTTTGTTTCAGTTTTTCCTGAGAAGACCATGATAAGGAAGTGAGCCACATTTCTTGGCCATGGGAATTTGTCTCAATGCCCCAGGCTTGCGTTCTCAGGAGTGTGGTGGGTTCTAAGCAAGTGGGCTTCTTGCCAACTGGTCCTGCGTTGCAGGTGCCCAAATTTTACACTTACAAACTTGTTAAGATTCCCAGCCAACCTCGGGGTTGTGGAACTGACGGCAGTGGCCTCTGGGGAGCATCTCTATGCTGACCTTCCCTCAGTGTTCAGGCTCCTGGCTCCACATCCAAGAATCCGCTGAGCAGGAGGTTGAGCCCTAAAGGTCCCAGACACTCAACAAGAAATGGAGGACTTAGCCTGGAAGGAAGGACAGGCTCATTGGAAACACAAGGGGCAAGCGCCTGGCCTGCATGCTTACCAACAGCCTTCTTGTCTGGAAACCTAGTAGATTTGGTGCTCATGCCTGAATACCACTCCACAACATTGGACACATCTCTCCTAAATAGTTCTTTCCCTCTTTTCCTTACCTCTGGACTTTCTGACCACTCTTGTCAATCAGCCTTGCAAAATGCTTTTGTTTTGCCTATTTCTTAAATCAAGGATTCTCAACCAGGATGGATTGTGCCCTGCAGGGGACATTTGGCAATGTCTAGAGACAGCTTTAATTGTCACAACTTTGGGGAGTGGGGAAGGCTTGCTACTAGGTAGAAGCCAAGGATGCTGCTTAACATCCTACAATGTGCAGGCCAGCCTACCCCCCACCACAAAGACTTATGGATTCTAAAACGTCAACAGTGCAGAGGTTTAGAAACCCTGACTCAACTGGTGTGTCTCCACAGCGCTTTCTCCTATATGCTTTATTCTTCCTCCAACTCATATACTCTTTGGGTTATCTCATCTATTACCACTTAACCCAGTGATGTCCATACTCTGATGGCTCCCAAACCTCTGTCTCCAGCTGGATTTCTCCTCTGAGTGTCAAACTCATAAATTTACTATGCTACTGGACATCTTTAGCTTGATAGCCTATAGATGGCCTTCTGCTTTTGTTTTGTTTTGCTCTTGGATTCTTAGCAAGAAAAAAAAAGTTCATGGACGGGCGGGGTGGCTCATGCCTAAATCCCAGCACTTTCGGAGGCCAAGGCAGGCAGATCACTTGAGGTCAGGAGTTCGAGACCAGCCTGGCCAACATGGTGAAACCCCATCTCTACTAAAAATACAAGAATTAGCCAGGTGCAATGGCACACGCCTGTAATCCCAGCTACTTGGGAGGCTGAGGCAGGAGAATCGCTTGAACCCAGGCAGCAGAGGTTGCAGTGAGCCGAGATCATGTCACTGCGCTCCAGCCTGGGTGACAGAGCAAGACTCTGTCTCAAAAAAAACAAAAAAGAAAAAAAATGTTCATAATTGAAAAAGTAACCTCTCACATGTAGTTATATGTTTTTAATAATAGGGAATTAAAATTAACTTTTATTTTGAAATAACAAAACACAATTTAGTGGCACATTCTGAGATCGTTAGATACAGCTTGGGAATGTCACAAAAGCTGTTGAAGGGAAATCCTTGAGTCTTTTAGGATAGGAAGATTTTTGCCATAACTCATTCTTTGATTTAAACAAGGACTTGTGGTCTTTCAGTGTGAACTCCAAAGGCTTGATGTGGTGCTGCCTACTGTCGTCTAACACTTTCAGAGCCTCCTCTACATAATGCTTTAGGACTCACCTAGTCCTAGATTGACACTGTAGGGTTACAATAGATGTAAGTTGAAATTTATTAATATTTTTTGAGTTCAAAGACCATATCTTATATACCTTTCAGTTACCTAGAATGCTGAAGCAGAACTGCTTCTCGAGAGATATTTGATGGGTATTGAATGAAGGCATTTCCTAGGAAAACAACTTCTTGTCTTTTACTTTTAGGCCCTACTCTTAGCCATTCCCTTCTCCACTGGCAAGAGGTACACACACACATACACACACACCCACAGAGAGAGAGAGAGAGAGAGAGAGAGATTGACTAACCCTAAATCAACTGATTATGTGCATTTAGAAAAATCACCAATGAGTAGATGCCATTCTCACAAAACAGCCTGCACATCCCTTTAGAAAACCCTCATAGGTCAGCAAGGGAGAGAAGGCCAGAGGCAGGAAGGAGAAAGTGTGGAAACATCTGTCATGGGATCAGTCATGCGGAAGGTTTGGAACTGTGCCCCTGAGTTTGTGCTTACAGGGTGCTTTCCAGAACCACTATTATCTCCCAGGGAAACCAGCTGCTTACACACTCTGAGCCCTTACTTGACATCGTGATGAGATATTGGAAACGAAGGGATAGTGCCCTGAGACACAGTTTCCCAAAAGTGAGAGTAGATCCCATGCTTCCTAAACTTCCTCTTTCTTTAAAAGAACAATCTCCTTCCTCCAACTTGGAGCAGCTTTCCAGAGAGCTGCCCATCTGTTTCTGTCTTTAAAACAAGTCTCCATGTGCACCATGTGAAGCCAGGCAAAGAAGCATGGAGGAGGGTGAATTACAGATTGATGAAGAGGAGGGGCATGGAGGAGATACCAAGCAAAACCTGGGGGCCCTTCCACCTGGCCCCATCTCAGAATGTAGAGCCACAGACCAGTGAGTCTCAAGATCAACAAAGGACAGTCTCTGCTGGCTCTGTATCTTCTGACTTCCTGTAGGGCTGCCAGCTCCTGCTCAGTGGTGCCTTTTCATTGAGTCTACCATTTAGTGACTATAGAGTGGGCACCCATTGATTGTTTCCAAGAGTCATACTTGTTCACAGGCTTTCCTGTAGCCCCCATGTTAGTCCATTTTGCATTGCTGTAAAGAAATACTTGAGACTGGATAATTTACAAAGAAAAGAGGTTTATTTGGCTGACGGTTCTGCAGGCTGTACAGGAAGCATGCTGCTAACATCTGCCTGGCTTCTGGTGAGGACCTCAGGAACTTTTCCTCATGGCAGAAAGCAAGGGAGATGTCATGTCACATGGAAAGAGAAGAAGAGAGGCAAGAGAGAGGGGAGGAGGTGCCAGGTTCTTTTTAAGAACCAGATCTCATGGGAACTAAGGGTGAGAACTCACTCATTACTCAAACACACCAAGCTGTTCATAGGGGATCCACCCCCATGGCCCAAGCACCTCCCACTGGGCCCCATCTTTAACAATGGAGATCAAATTTCAACATGAGATTTGGAGGGGACAAATATCCAAGTGTATTGACTCCCAACACCAATTTCCAAGCTTTGGCGTGCCATTTACAGCTGTGAGAAATCCTTAAGGTCACCAGCTGGAAGTGGGGTTGATTCTGCAACCCTGCCATCCTGGACGCAGCCTGCTATGTGGGTGCTGGTATCCAGTGAAGCAAGTCTGGGTTGGCTTCCCAGGCTGTGCAGAAGACCTCTCTTCCTCTTCTGCCCCACTTTGTTTCATTGATTCGTTCATTAATGTCACTGATGTTAAGTGGCCAGAATAGATTAAACAATGTGGTAGGCACTAGAGAGAAAATGGTGACCCTAAGCCTTGAGTTGTTTCCATCTCTGGAAGACTTTGGTCAGTATTAGGCGAACGTACGAGTGTTATGTCATGATGGGAATGAGCACAGGAGCCTTCAGTTCTGCCAAGAAAGGGCACCTGCTGGAGTTTCAGGATTCAGCTAAGGGCCACTGAGCCCTGTAAGGTGATGTGAAGGCCAAGGGGGCTGAGGGAGGGAGGGACAGGTGAGTGCTGTATCCACAGTGAGAGAGGAAACCAGGTCTTCAGGTGGGAGAGCAGAGTAATTAGAGGGTGGGCACAGGAAGAAAGATAGATCCCTGGGACCTCTGCAGACCACATTAAAGACTCGATCCTACAGTGGACAAGTGCACAAGAAAAAGAGTCAAAATGTGTGTTAAGGAGAGGCTGGAGAGGAGTCCTGAAAAAATAAATGAGAGCTTTGCCCTCAAAGAGTTTATCATCTCTTTAAGAAAAGGAAGGGGAAAAAAACACATGAAATTGACAGTGTGAAAAACCAAATGGAATACTGTTAAGCACTGAAGCATTGAGTGCAGACCAAAGGGGCTGCAGAACAGACAGAAGAGTGAGCATCCCATGAGAAGGCAGGACGGGCCACAGCCTTGCAAATACAGAAGGGCTGGGGATGGTTTCCTTGGTGAGGCTTCTTATTTGCAATAAAAGGGTTCAACATTAGCATTGACTCTTTTAATTTCTCCAAGTATTTAGATAACTGTGTTATCAACAGTGGTAATGCCTGCACTTGAGGCTTTAAACAAAGAATAAAATCCTGGCTGGTGTCCGATTCACAATTGGAACAAAAACAAACAAAACACCCATGGGGAAAATGGTACTTCTGGAGTTCCTGTACTGCTCAGATCACATAAGGCTACAAAATTATAAAATATTACCTCCTCACTGGCAGCATCTCCTTCACTTGATTGAGCTTCGTTATTTTGCCTTCAGATATTATCAGTTTATGGAAACTAGACCTCTGAACTGTTTGTTATGGGGACACTGTTGAGGTCACTATGAGGCTTAGTCTCGCTAAAATGAAAATGCAGTGGTAGTAATTTCTTTCAGGCCTAATGCCTAGGGGGAAAACTTTAATTTCTCTGAAAAACAAAAACTAGGAAGTGTGTACATTTCATCTCTCTCTTTTTACTTTATCTGTCTGGGAACATATTGCTAAACTTGAATCTCAACAATAGAAGCCCAGTAAGCCTTCTGGTTGGTGTATTTGTGTTTCAGTGTTCTTCTGAGTTCTAATTTTCATTTCTATCTTCTCATGTTAATAAATGGGCTTTTTTAGTAAGGTGTCTCAAAGATGTATGGGGCTAATTGGGAGAGAAAAAATTAAAGAGTTAAAAAAATGAAAAAAGGGAAGAATACTAGAGAAGAAAAATGGGTTGAAACAAAAGGATAATAAGGAGACTGAGTAGAAGGGAGGGAGCCTGCTGAGATGCTCTGAGATGAGGGAAGGTGTATAGATAGTGGACAGAGGCAATAGAGAGCCACAGAAGGTTTTTATGCTGGGGAGTAGCAACATTAAAACTTTTTTTTTAGGTTTGCCCGATTGCAACGTACCAGACTATGCACCTGATTATATGTACCAAAATAGGGAAAAGCTAAGTGATTGTAGGTACCAAAATAGGGAAAAGCTAAGTGATTGTAGGTACCAAAATAGGGAAAAGCTAAGGAAGTGATGCCTGGGAAGATAAAAGAATAAGCAGCTATGGGAAGCATTTTGGTAGAAAAGTGAATGAAGTTTGAGTGTGAGGAGTAAAGGAGTGAGTCAGCACTGACAGCAGGTGTGTAGGGTGTTATTATTGCCAGAGAGAGCTCAATAGGAAGAAGGGATTTGGATACTTTAGAGGGGTGGAGAGAGAGGGGAAGGGGGCAGGAAGAGGTGGATATATTCCTGATTCCTGATTGTAGGGTCCTAAGATCCCATATCTTTTTTTTTTAAAAAAAATCTTATCCTTAACTGGATAGAATCCAAATTGTCGCTTCTTCACCAGGCTGGATTCCTTCAAAGCCAACTAGTTTTGTAATAGAATGATGCTTTGAGATATTGGTCAAAAGACATATTAACCCAAAGGACAGCAGTGTAGTAAGTAAAAGATCCCTGAAAAATTCTCTTCAGAAGATTCATAAAGTTGTCATTTAACCACCTGTTCAAGTCACATAAGAGTTCATAAACAACACTATGCTTTTCTTCCTTGGCCCAGTGGGGCATTCATTTCTCTTTCCAGATCAGTAAAGACTATTCATGTTTCCCCCAATGTCTTATTATGACAAATTTCAAACATAAAGCAAGGTTGAAAGAATTTTACAGTGAACAGCTGGGTCACCTACCACGTAGATTCCACTGTTAATAGTTTACTGTTTTTGCTTTCTCACAAATCTCTCCACCTGTGCATCCATTTATTCATCTTGTTTTTGGTGCATTTCAGAGTAAATTGCAAACATGACTACTCCTTGCCATATAACTTGCGTTTGCAGGCTGGGGAACCTGTGATAGCCCACCTAGGTTGACAGTGGAGATCAAAGAGAAGTCAGTGGCTCTTTCTGTGGGTGGTTTCGCTCCCCAATCCCTTCCTCCCCACGAATTTTAATGTTGACTCTTTAATGACAGTAGTGTCTAGCCTGTGCACTTGAGTTCCTAGAAAGTAGAAAAGGGAATTTTTACAAACCCAATTCTCTTTAAAAACTTCAGTCTTTGAGACTGAAAAGACTCCTACAGGTAGCATAGTTGGAAGTTGTTGTTTTTTAAGTCCCATAGAGACATAAGCTCTATAGCCTACGTGCACATTTCCAGATTTCCAGATATCAGATTTACTTAAAGCAAAACTGTATCTTTAATGATGTAAGAAACATAGAGAATACAGATGGTCTCTGCTTTCAGATACAAAATATTCCTAAAAATGTCACCGACCATCACCATTGTCTCTACCTGTAGGGAGTTAGAGGCAGAAATTGTAGCACAGGAAGTTAGTGAGGAAGGAGGTAAAAGTTTTTAGCTGGCAAATGGATGGTATTATCAAAACCAGAGATTGCCTTACTGGAATTTACAAAACAACTATTACTGCATGCCTTTATCGCATGCAATTTTCAAGCTTAAGAAATGTGACCCAGCAGCGTAATAATAAGCCTGGATATGATGGCATTCGATTAAGGTTTGTTTTGCCTCCATTTCTATGTCTATTGTATTTACATTTATGTTTTAATTGATATTTTGGTCATGTGTTTTCCCCAAAGAGATTTTGTGAAGGCTTCCATTTTCTAAAATTAAAAAAATGATATATTTGATATATTGTAAACAAAAGAAATCCTCCTTAATGTACTCAGAAATGAGATCTTGTTAGTGCACTAAAACTTCACTTAAAAATATTTATCCGTAAGTACCATAAGCAAACCAAAGGTATTATTGCAGAGACTTGGAGGAAAGGACCTCAGTTTGGGAAGAGCCAATATCAGGAACTAATTCGCAGATCGGAATGTGGCCTGAATAGAGGAGAGGGAGAGAGTATTAAGGCAAATATGCAGCAGGTGATATAGAAACAACATCTGAAGGAGAAAGCCTCTTGATGACCCATCTGAGAGGGTCAAAGTCAGTGTATTTATCTTGGTCAACTCAAACTCAACACAAGAGATAGTCCAGAAGGGAAATGAAATAGAGGAAAGAAGCAGAGATTATATATTTTTTATGTTATCATCTGATTT
This sequence comes from Homo sapiens, assembly GCF_000001405.40. Lineage (NCBI taxonomy): Eukaryota > Metazoa > Chordata > Mammalia > Primates > Hominidae > Homo > Homo sapiens. The sequence continues at coordinate 11,739,962 of NC_000006.12, read as the reverse complement.
TGCAATATGTAGGCTCTCTGAATTTTTTTTCACTGGAGAAAATTAAGTGCTCTTGTCCCCGCAGGAAACTTAGGATAAGAGTGTGATCAGCCTAGCCTTAAAGATTCAGTTTCTGGAGCTTCCATGACAGTGATAAAGACCTGTCGGATCCATGTGTTACCTCAATGATTAAGGCTTGCTTCTTTCTCAAGGGTCAGGCAAACTTCATCCTACTGTAAGTTTAGCCTCATATGCAGGGAAATTGTTTAATGGAGCCACTTATCTACCTGTAGGGGGTGAGTACAAACAAGTGCTCAAATCATTATCACTATTTTCCATGTTGTCACTCATGCAACCCTGTACAAATTTTCCATGGGCTGGTAAATCTTAGTACTTATCATCTGCAAGGCTATTTTGTAAGCAGAGAATCTACTGTGATTATTACACTAATACTTAAATCAATACTTCATGCTTGTAGTTCTCACTCCAAGATATTTAGGTGAAAGTTGGCATTTTATGGAGGATGGTGGGGGGAAGGTATAATTGAGTAGAAAAGGATGGGAGAAGAACATCTCTTTATAACCGTTGCATTTGGAAAGAGACATTTAAAGGAAAATCTACCAAAATGGTGACTTTAAGGACAAGGAAAGATAGCTCCACTAGATCCCCTCTGTTTACGCATGCTATTGTTTCAGCCCATGATGTTTTGTTTACTTTGGAAGGAAATATTTTACCCCCTCTGAGATAATTAATTTTTGTCAGCTTCACTGTTTGTAAGGGAAACTGAGAAACTGTTAATTGAAATACAGAGTGAGTCAGTGTTTCCAGTAATTTTTGGCAGCATTCTAATTTGTGTCAATCGCAGCCTAATTATTAGATTTTTTGGAAGCAAAAACATATTTTATTTTTCTCTTACTGAATTTGTTCTTCCTTTTTTTTTTTGAAATATGTGCTGTCTGACAAAGGTCATATGATTTATGTCAAAGTGAGGTGAAATACCCATACGCTTGAAACACCAGAAGGCTTATTGCATCATGTTTAGCTCTTCACTGCCGCTCAATATTTAGAAGGCTCTTTTCCTACTTCCTACCCCAGCCCCGACCGGAAAATGTGATTCTTGCAAAGACCTTTTAGCTAGGATGAAGTCGAGGTATATGGCCCATCACTAATGACATCACTGAAGTAAATTTCCCAGAAGCCATCAGGGAGAATTCATTTGGAAATCCAATTGAATGTCACTTGCAAAGGGCAGGCTCCTGAAAGAGGTGACCAGTCATGCATTCCTGAGTTGTTTGTTATAAAAGCATTAAGCACTGCGAACTCATTTACTCCTAACGCGAACACACTACATTATTCCACAGGAATTCTGTTCCAAATGATCGTTAATGTAGAGGACGGGAGCTGCTGATTGTGGGCAGGGTTAATAAAATTCATCAGATCAATGGCCAGTATAATGGGCTTGTTAATGGTTTTTAATAGAGGTTGGATCTTCCTGGCTTCAGCAGAGTGAAGGCTGGGAGAGAGGGGCAGGTGGCTGTGCCAGGAGACAGCTCCATCTCCTGCCTGCTGAGGTGGCCTCTGGATGAAGAGAGCATCCCTGTTGGTCACTGAGCATCAGCAGGGCTCCAAGGTGGCCTTGACTGGGAACGCAGGCACCAGCTGTGGGCTGGGGAGGGAGCCCCAGGGACAACCATACTCCAGCAGCTGGCATGCCACAGCCTCTTGCAGACCACAGGCCAGGGTTCATCTAAGCACCTGAAGCCATGGATATCCCAGGCCCTTGCTTGCACCCCACCCTGGGCCCACCGATGAGATGAAAGACAACAGTCACACTGATAATAGTGACAACCCCAGCAAATGCTCACTGAAGCTCTCCAGGGCCAAAGACTAAGCATATTACACGCACTCACGTCAATCCCCATAGCAGCATCACTAGAGGTATGTACTATTTATTGTCCCCATTTTATAACTGGGGAAGCTGAAGTTCAGAGAGATTTGGTCACTAGCCCAGGGTTAGATTAGAAACTGTGTGCCTTTAGATGCCATGCTCTTTTATTAGACGGAGAGACACAGAAGCTGCAGCCTAAAATCAGACTGAAGAAATATGCAAGGTGCGACGGGGGCCTGGGAGTCTTTCCATTTGTTTCTCCAACCAGTCAGTATGTTCAGGACCAACCTTGAGCAAATTATGTAAAAGCTGTAGCTTGTCTGCAATGCTGTTCCTCTAGGCATCGTTAGTAAAATTCAGGGTGCCCAGGGCCCTTGAGATGCCCAGGTGCTCTGGGCCACCCCACTGTGGCCTTAACTGGGGCACCCTGAGAGGTCCTCTTCACCCAGTGCTGCCCTGTACTTACAGCTTGGTCCTTCTCACCCTGCTCCTGCCTCACCAAAACTTGACCCATTTCTGGTCATCTGTGGGTCATTATGATATCCGACTGCCGTAGCCAGATCAGCTCGGATGGGAGGAAGCTACTGCTTCCTGGGGATGCCTCCTGAGCACAAGTCTTTTGTGAATGACAGCAAAGACTGCCCAGAGCCAGCACCCAGAGTTCCAGCTGCACTGCTGGGCATGGGAACGCAATGACATTCCCGAGCTCCAGAGACTGCCCTAACTGAGGGGCCAACACCGCTGCCCTGGGGCTCAGGAACAAGATGGGGCGGGAGCTTGCAGGTGGAGACTGTGGGTGAAAGAGGCAGCCACGAGCTGAGGAAATTGGCAAGCAGGAGTGAAGGAGGAATGATAGCTGGAACTACAAAAAACGCAAAATACTAGCACTACTAGATGTTTCCAGTAAGCTCAGAGGGTGGCAGAAGGACTTCATAAATGTTATCAATAAATGAAAACACATGGCACACATACTCCAGTGACCTTTCCCAGGTCAGCTTCTATAACCCAAGATGGGAGCAGGCTGCAGCAGTCTTTGCATCTGAAAACGCCATCATTCCTAAAGTTATTTCCTTGATTATGTCATTTTAAAAACTCTACTGTTAAGGGTTTGGAGGATGTAAGAAAACAGATGGTTATAAGGAGGGGGTGATGCAGGGAAGGAGGGGGAGGACATAGGGGTTTCAGAGGGAGGCTCACGCATACCCCACACACTTACCACCCTCAGCAGGACTGAGCTCAGTTACACCATGCTAAATGCAACAAGAAACGCAGAACTGGGTGGAACGTGTTCTCCGGCCCCCCAGAGCGTACGAATATACACCATAAGTGCTAGACTACATGGCACAGGATATAAATGCAGTCGAGTTGACTGAGAGAAATTAGCAAGAGGAAAATTCAGAGACAGCATCATGGAAGATTGCACTGGCTGCAAAGAACATAGAGGATTTGAATCCCAGGGAGAGAAGGCACAGTCCACACAGGGAGAGGAAGCAGGGACAGGAGGCTGGAAGTGCGAGCGAGCATGCTGAGCACAACGGAGGGTGAAGGAGACAGCCTCGGTCTAACAGGGGGGTTGTGTGTGTGTATGTGTGCACAAATGTATGAATGTGTGTGAGAGTGCAAGAGTATGGATGTGTGCATGTGCATGTGTGTGCACAAATGTGTGTGAGAATATGCCGAAGTGTATATGTGTTAGTGTGCGTGTTTGTGCACAAATGTGTGAATATCTGTGAGAGTATGCATGAACATGTGTGTGTGAGTGCATGGATGTGCATGACTATATATGCTTGAGTGCGAGTGTGCATGTTTGTGCATGAATGTGTGAATGTTTATGAGAGTATGCATGAGTGTGTGTGCGTGTGTGTGTGTGTGTGTTTTAGGAGAGGGCCAGGCACGGTGACTTACGCCAAGCCGCCAAGCCAGCACTTTGGGAGGCCAAGGCGGGCAGATCACTTGAGGTCAGGAATTAGCCGGGCTTGGTAGCACATGCCTGTAATCCCAGCTACTCAGGAGGCTGAGGCAGGAGAATTGCTTGAACCCGGGAGGCAGAGGCTGCAGTGAGCCAAGATCGTGGCACTGCACTCCAGCCTGGGTGAGTGACAGAGCAAGACTGCATCTCCACCCCCCACCCCCGCCAAAAAAAAGTAGGGAGAGGGGAGCAGTGGGCAATAAGCAGGACCAGAGAGAGGGTGAGACACATTGCAAAGTCCTTGGTAGCCAGACAGAGGAGTTTGGACTAATGTGGTAGGTAAGAGGGAGCCACGGTAGGTCCTTGGGCATCTAGGGAGCATGACCTGGAAAGCTTCATCTAGCAGTGTGTAAGAGGTAGACTGGAAGGGGAACAGAGAATTATGGGCACTGTAGGCACCCTGGACACCCTGCCATTCTGATTTGCCATTTTCTCTCCTGCAGCACACTTTCATATTCCCCATCACATTGGCTGAAGTCGTCCTCAGGCCTCACTCCTATCCATCAAAGAAGACAGGACTCACCTTGCTGGCTGCTGCCAGCATTGCTTACATCAGCCGGTAAGAATTACATGGAGAAAGTCAACTTAGGCTTGTCGTTCAAGACCCTGAGGGAAGTTCCAGAAATGTGTACTGTTCTGTCAGAATCCCTTTATCTTGGTTTAATAAGGATTTAATCATGTTTACATTTCCAGGTAAGAAGCATTCTTATTGTTTGATTTTAATGCTCATGGAAACCTCCCAAGCACAGAAACATGCAGGTGTGCACACACATACACAGCAAGTCACAACTTCCCCTCTCTCTCTCGTGAAGAATTAATCATTGCAAAGCCACTCATCTTGCTTTCCCAAGAAAATGTTGCTCCTTGGTTCTATCTTCAATGAACATGCTTGAATGGCTGAGGGATCTGAGGCATCTAACTACATTCTACCTGAAAAGTCATTTAGTGGGCAGAGCATGCTAGGTTTGTCCACTCCTGTTGCCTGTTTCATTATGGGCTTATTTGCATCAGCAGCTGGCATCAGAGCTCCTAGAAGGCATTTGGGCAATTGCATGGGAGATGATTTCTGTAGCTGGCCTAGATTTCGTCATTCAACCACCTGGCAATACTCATTTTCAGAAACGCTGCCCAATAGTCTATAATCAAGGGAACGTGCTTGGCCTTTCACCCAGTGAGTGGGAAACTTTTCTTCCATTCTATAACCTTCTCATCTAGCACCATGCTTTTGTTCCTTCTGAAAGAAAGAGGCTTGCTGAACACAAGACCTGCAGATTGGAAGCTAATCAGTGTTCCTTCTCTAGACTCACACAAGCTATTCATGTGTGACAATCTGGACAACCCTCCGATCCCTATATGCGGGGAAGTTTAGTTCAGTTCAGTGCTCTGTCAGGGATGGAAGCGCAGAGAGAGAGAGAGAGAGTGCATTCCAAAGAACATGGGCTCTAGCAGTGCCTGTTTTATGGACTCGACCAGCCTCTGTCTTAGAGCAAATAAACTTGGTGCCCAGACCTCATCTGCTGTTTTCTCCCTAGCCCTTCCTTCCCTTTTGTGGTGTCTACCCCTCCCACCTTTCTGTGCCCCTCTTTCCCTGAGTACCCAAATCTTTCTTCTCCCATCTTAAAGAAAGCACTTGCTCAATAAATCTACCCCCAGACTCCAGTGCTCTATATTGTTCTTCAGCCTCTGAAGCCTTTACATTTTAACAAAGGGAATTTCAGAGAACGAGGCTTAAGCTTGGGTCCTACTGATAGTTGATGTCTGGAGCACTCTGTTGAAAAGGATTCTGAGGCATTACCAAGAAAAAGTTGTGTGATTATTTGGCAATGACTTTCAATAGCATGACAATGGACAGTGGTAAGATATATGCTATGTGTTTGCCATATCTGGCTTAATACAAAGGAATATATCCCTAAAGACAGAGTATCTGGGACCTGGATTGGGGTAAGAGTATAGACACATAAAGATTTTGTTGTTGTTGTTCTTGCATGTGTTGAAGAGAAGCAAAGTGGAATCTAGCTGATTATACACATGAATTTGTATGCTGTATTTTTTTTGGTGGTCTTTAACTTACTCTTTTATTGCCAAGTGTAAATCTGGTAGTTCATATATATGTTATTACCTTTTACTTACTAATGTCTTCTACCTAAGGACTTGTAAGTTGATTTTCAGTTCACATATCTGACCCTTGTTTTTCTTTTCCTTTTTGGGGATGAAGAAGATGAAAAGCACCTAAGGCCACTGCTGTTATTGGGGAAAATTGTAGTGGCTATAAAAATGAGTAGTAGAGGCCAGGAGGTTGGTTTGTCAGTACCTGGGCGGGTGTCCCCATGATGCAGGTAATTAGGATGTTGGAGAAAGAAATGCCACAGGATGGGAGCCAGGTACAAGTGCATCGTTATCCATTCAGTGGTTCACCAGCGCCAGGCACTGTGCTAAAATATGGAGGATACAGTGAAGTTCAGGAAACCTGCTACCTTTAGAGGCTGTCCGGGAAAGAGGAGCATAACAGACAGTGGGAGACAGGGTGATAGGACTGTAATAGGCATAAGCCCAGGATGCTATGGGCACACAGAGAGATGTGCAGGACTGGCTTCTTAAAGGGAAGCACTGTCTAAGCTGAGGCCCAAGGAATGAATAAGAATAGGTCAAAAGAGACATGGAAAAGACCTTCAGGCAGAAAAAACAGCATCTGCAAAGGGCTGGAGGAGCTGAGGGTATGGCTGAATTGGAGGACAGGGTAAAGCCAGGTCGTAAATCCACATTAGTGCGTTTGGACTTTTAAACCAAGTGCTTTTCTGTAGAAAAGTGTTATAATCAGAGGAATGAAATGATGTGGTTTATGTAAGAAAGCTGATTAGAAAGATGATTCTGGCTGAAGTGTGGACATTAGACTGAAGAGGAACAAGACAGGTAGACCAGTTGGTGGCATTGCTGGTAACTCAGGGGAGTTGATGTTAGCCAACTGATGATAACATCAGTCAATCCACAAATAAAATCAGAGAGTGTGAACAATGGGAGGTGACTTAGAGATGACTTAGCATTGGAAAACTAAATCTCCAGTAGGGTAGATGACATGCCCATGGTCATATGGCAGAGGTGGGGTAGAGATGCAAAGCTGGTACTTGAGCCAACTAAAACTGAGGTCTCCTCTCTCCAAATCCAGTTGTCTTTCCACTGTGTTTACATGGCCAGGTATTTGTTCAATTCCCAGTGTGTGCAAAACCATTCAGCTAAATGCTGGATGGATGGGCATGCACAAAGCTTGACCTAGCTCTGCACTTTGAAATCTTTCACGTGTTGTTCCCAGCTCTATGTGCTTGGATTAGACATTAAAGTACTGGTAATGAAGGGAGTGGAGGGAAGGGATGGAGACCTGTCACCAGCAGGAACGTGACTGGGTGAGCCCCAGTGCCCAGTGGGGAGCTGAGGTGGTTTGGGATTTCGTCCTTCATGAAAAATGCTAAGTTGGTATTTGGTCCACTAAGCCCCATTTTTGCTAGAACAAATCAAATATAGACACTTAAAGGAGGGTGTTTGATGTGATCCTGTTGATGGAAGCATCTCTATTTCTGCTCACGCCCTGGTTAGAGGAGCTCAGACTCTTTGGTGCCTGCCAACCCCACCCTTACGCAGTTTCCAGGGCCCCTGGCTCCTCACAGCCACAGATGGCCATGAAGTTCTACAAACTGCAGACACCCATGGAGACGTTTTAGGGAAGTGGCTATGGGCCCACTGTCAGATGTGCCAGTTTGGACAGTCAAATGGGGAAATGGCATAACACGAATGAGGTAAAGAGCATGGGCTCGGGCCAGAGGGAGCGTGAGAAACGAACATGAGTCAGGAAAACGGCACTGAAGCTGAGCTGGAGAAGCATTTCACCGCCGAAACCATGTTCAAATGACCTAAAAATAGTTCCTGAGACCGTGGGGACCGCCTTACATGTGGTGGTTGCTTTTAGTTATTTTTCAGATTGCAAAATTGAAGAGCTCTCCCCTAAGTGGGAAAATAAAGCTTTGCAAAATAGTAATGACTGCAAAGCTTTCATTTCCTTTGGAAAGCATTAGTCACCTTTAAATATGGTAGCTCACTTATTTCTCCCTTCTCTCCTACCCCAAAACACCTCACCTAGTTCTCCCTGAGGCAGTGGTGAGGAGCAAAAAAATAGAAATGTTCCTTCTGCTGGTTTTTATTCTTTCTTTTATTGAATAAATATTTTCCCTAACACATGGTTGGTCCTGCCCAGAAAAGCAATGTTATATCAGGCCAAGCTTCAGCCTGCAGGGGGTTTATCCTTAATAAGTGGAGATGACCCATGCATACAAATTATAAGTGCAGAAGATGGAAAGTGGTAAAACCTCATAAAAAAAACACAAGGAGCCACAGAAAAGGAAGAGTTTGCATCCAGCTGAGCGGTGTGGGAAGGGCACTGTGGAAGGCATGCATTGGATCTGAGCCCTGAAGGACCGGCAGGATTGGAGCTAGAAAAAATGAGAGAAGGTAAACAAAAGGAGCACAGTCCCAAGGCCAGGAGAGTGCAGAAAGCGTGAGAGCAAGGGTCAGTAATTCTCTTTGCTGGACCTGTTTGTGAAAGAGACTAATGAGAAATATCCCTGGAACTACCCACTCATGAAGGCTTGCAGATGGCAGACTAGAGGATGTTGGACATAGTATAGAAAATGGGAGCATTTGTTGTTGCTGTTGTTTGTTTGTTTGTTTGGAGTGGAAGCAAGGGTGAGCAGTATTTGTAACTTGGCCAGCAAATTATGCTTTAAAATGTCATTCTTGACAATAGTGCTTCAAATAAGTTGGAGTGACAAGAGATGGGAAACAAAATAAAATATAAACCAATATAAAAATAAAAACTAGCCAGCACATTATGTACTTTGATCACAATGTCTTAGTTTTTATGTATGGTTATTTCACAGTTCCAGTGATATCCCCAAGCACCCTTCTGCCTTGGAGGTCTTGGTCCAGTTTTCCAAGGAGTTCCAATAATCTGCTGAGTGCTCACACATGCCCCTGTCGTGCACTGCACAACCCATGCTGCACACTGTTCTGAGCATTGTTCTTACACACAGATAGCAAAACTGTAATCCCCACTGGGTCCAACATCCCCACCTGGCACAGTGTTAAGGGTTAGCACACCATGCCCACTGCTGATGCCAACAGTGTCATTTACCCATCAGCCCCCTGTGTTGGTAGAATTAACAATGTTACTCGCCACAGCAACCACCCCAGCTGGCCTGGAGTGCATCATCACACTGCTCTTGGTAGACCAGAAACCTACTGATGCTGCAGGTGTCCCTGCTAGTGTGTAAAGTATTGCATGCCCCGTACAAACACTGCACAGATATGCAGCTGTCACCCAGCCTTGGGGCAGATGTTTGTAAAGTCCCTTCCCCAAAGTAGTTGCTATGAGGCAAGAGAGAGAATTACTTTCTTTTATACTGTGCTCTCCAGGGTAAGATCCCTCAGCAAAGCTTCCTGGGTTCCCAGAAGTAACAGTTCTTTAAATTCATGCCTCATTTACAAATACATGTACACATCTTACCCTGAGAATACATTAAAAACTGCCAAGGGGTGGACTAAGCTGAGTTCCAGGACCAGCCACCTTGCCATTTCCAGAATCAGCAATTCTCTTCTTCTCTTTCTGGTTTTTATTCATTTTTCTATTGAATAAATATTTTCCCTAACACATGGTTGGTCCTGCTCAGAACCAACCATGTTGTGAACTCCCTACCAGAGCCACTGTTACCGTTTCCAAAATATGACCTTCAACTGAGATCATCCAGGTCAACCATAGCTTTATAACCTCAACTCAGCAGGGATTGGAATCTCAGCACCATTTTCCACAGAAGAAATCCTTACCCTACCTGTAAATTCATATATGAAAATTAATTAAAAAGATGCCACACAACACATCCTTGTTGTCAACATGCGGGGTCCAGCCCAGCCAGGATCCAAACTGAAGAGGGATGGAGGTGGAGGACTAGGAGAGGAGAGGGTATCTCATCTCCTGCTCTTCTCATCTTTCCTGTTCAAACCTTAGTTCTTATTCAACCAAAATGCCTGTAACAGAAATCAGAAATAATAACGGCATGAAGAGAGTAAAACTGTAGAATCAGAAATGAGAGACATGCCTGAGACACATTGTTGAAACAACAGAATAGGTTTTATGGATTGATTGACATGTACCACACAAATGAAAAGGAAAAATTAGGATAATTCTAAAAATTTTAAGTTAGTAGACAAGAAAAATGGTGATTCCATTGATAGATGAAAATGAATTGTGAAAGTAATCGTCTTGGGTATAAGTAAAACAGTCAGTTTAATATCCCATATCTAGGTCTCATTTCAAAAATACTCTGGTTTAATTGGTTCAGGATATGCCCTCAGCATTGGAATTTTTAAGGCCCTCAAGTCAATTCTAATTTTGAGACAAGATTGAGAATCACCTGCCTGGAGGAATTTCCATTCAGAAATTCAGACCCTGCAGTCTCAAGAAAGATGGGGCTGAGGAGATGCAGCTAGTTGAACCCTCGTGGAGTGACAAGATTGCTGGAAAGAGAGAGAGGAGAGAGGGAAGATAAGTAAGAAGCAAACACCAGGGAAAGGCCCTCCTCTCAGGGACAGGAGGGGGAAGGAGCAGCAAAGGTAGCAAGGAATTACCAGGTAGTAGAAGGGCAGGAAGTTAGAAAACCATGGGCCCTGAAGGCAGAGAGGCTTCAAACTGGAAGGGGGTGTCTCAGGGAGGGGTTGGGCAACAGCTCTAAATGCCGTGATGAGGTTGCCACCCCAATGACTCTCATCACTGCCGACACCTCAACATCTAGGTAAACTATTTGACTAACACTCTAGCCTTGCAGTTTCTCCTGACTCTTTCTGTTTGATTTATTCTCCTGGGCTGGAAAGACGTGACCTGAGGGTTAACACCGAAAGAAAGAATTATATGCCCAAAGCCCACAAAACTCCGTTATCTGTTTATCTGCCACCCACAGACGTCGGTATTTCTCTACTGATAAGACGCAGAAGTTATGAATTTCTTGACAGCCATTATAATGCTCTAAGATTTAGGATAAGGAGACCCTAAAAGATTAATTTTTGGCTGCCATTTGGTGCCCACCCAGTCCAACTCACAGAGGTTCACGTAGCAGATGGCTCAAGAAAGATGTGAAATTGCTCTTTGAACTGAGGGGCAACGTCATTGGCCTCTTCAAAGTATTAGTAAAGTGAGATTAACCAAAACTTGAAAGGCCACTGGGTACATTTCCAAATTTCCAGAGCCTGTGGTGGTCTTGGTGAGTCAGGCGACTGAGAGCCGTCCATAGCAGTGTCCTACAGAGCCACCCAACACAGCCATTCATTTCAAAATTCAAAGAACCTGCTGCATTTTGGGCACTTGGCAAATAAATGTGCCTGACAGAGACAGTCCCTGCCCCTGCAGAGCTTTCAAGCTAGTGAGAAAAACAATCAAATAAGTAACAAAGGTAAGTTCCAGGGTGGAGGAAGCACCTGGCGTAAGCATTTACCCGAATCAGGGTTGGGGGAGAGAGCTTCAGGAAATCTTTTCTAGAGAAATAGACTTTTAAGCTGAGATTTGAAGCGTGAGTAAGATTCAGCCAGACACAGGGCAAAGAGAAGTAGGTTCCAGGAAACAAAAAGGTCAGAGGTGTACCCAGTGAAGACAACAGCAGGTGTGAAAGCCAAGAAACTGCAGCGCTCAGTTCACTCAAGAAACAAAGGGGTTCAATATGGATGGACTGCAGATCTCCAGATGGAAGCGGGGCATGGCCAGGCCAGGTAAGCAGCTGGGATCCTGGGATTCACTGCAGGCAGGGGAGGGCTGTGGACAGAGCTCGCTTTTAGGAAGATTACCGGATTACTGATGGCTTGCAATAGGGGAAGTGGGTTGAAAGGAGCAAGAAAGCCTAGTTGGTAGACAATGACAGAAACCCAAATGGAATGAAGGAGGCTGAAGGAAGATTGTGAAATGTGTGCGCTGAAGAAACATTTAGAAGGAAGTTTAGTATAGATATGATTTCATGGGATCAAACTTGGGGGCAAGATTGAATGGAGGGCTGACATTGGCTGAAATAGAAGACATGTTGAATGCAAAGTTCCCTCCCTCCCTCCCTCCCTCCCTCCCTACCTACCTCCCTCCCTCCCTGCCTCCCTTCCTTCCTTCTTTCCGTCCTTCCTTCCTTCCTTCCTTCTTCTTTCCCCTCTCTCTTCCCACCTTCCCCTCATATTCAGGCAAGCCATAAAGAAGTGATGTCAACTAACAGTGTGACTCTGTCCTCATTCACGCCTCTCTGCTGAGTACCCTTGGTAAATTACTATCATCTTGCCTCATACTCTGTATCTCTGTTAATTTTCCTACTGTCAGGTACCACACCTATAACTTTCCTTACACTTTATCTGTGAAAGTACACAATTCATTAGCTTACCTCGGGAACTTTCTTTTACAAGCCTTATGCTGAAGGAAACAAACATGAAGTAAACAGAAATTTTCCAAGCCTCTGGGGGGATGTCCTTATTTATAGACTATCTTACATAAATGTGCATGGGAATTCAGAAGCCCTAATTTCAACTATATAAAGTAAACAAAGTGAACTAAGTGATGCAACTTTTTGGAGTACATTCAGAGCTCCTCACTGACTCCAAACTCCTAGCCCTATCTACTTGAAACTGTTTATTTTCTATGCCATATACCTTCTTTGTCCTGCCATGAGAAGTAGCCATGCAGGTAAGAATCACTGTGGGCATCCTGTAATGCATCCATGGAACGCATATCTTAAAGAACTCTAGGCTGGCCATGGTGGCTCATGCTTGTAATCCCAGCACTTTGGGAGGCTGAGGTGGGCGGATCACAAGGTCAGGAGTTTGAGACCATCCTGACCAACATGGTGAAACCCTGTCTTTACAAAAAATACAAAAATTAGCTGGGCATGGTGGCGCACGCCTGTAAACCCAGCTACTCGGGAGGGTGAGGCAGGAGAATCGCTGAACCCAGGAAGCGGAGCTTGCAGTGAGCCGAGATTGCACCACTGCACTCCAGCCTGAGCAACAGAGTGAGACTCCATCTAAAAAAAGAAAAAGAATTCTAATATTAGTAACAATGATGATAATTATTGTTTGTTCTAGTCACCTCATTCTCAATCTGGGAGGAACATCCAGACAAGTTTGGGAAAGCAGAGTGATACCAGCAGGGCCCAGGCGAGGAACTAAATGCCAACCCTACATTTATATGACCCTAAAATTGACACCTCCTTAGATACATTTAAATTGTGGTAAAAGGTACACAATATTTACAACTTTAACGATTTTAAGTGATTTACCATTTTGATCATTTTTAAGCTCTGTAGCATTTTGTACATTTACCTTGTTGTGCATCCATCACCACCATCCATCTCCAGAACTTTTACATCTTCCCAAACTGAAAGTCTACCCGTTAAACAAT